>NC_000007.14:143852319-144003834 GCF_000001405.40 Homo sapiens | reverse complement strand
ACGTAATTTAATTTCCACATAGCCGTGTGTGTGTGTGTGTGTGTGTGTGTGTGTGTGTGTGATTGTATCTGTTTTAAAGATGAAGAAATCGTGTCTTGGAGAGGAATTAAGTAACTGACCACGTTGTCACTGGTAGCAGGGCAGGAATCACATTCAAGTCTCAGTCTAAAGCCCACGCTCCTTCTAATATCTTGCACCATCTGACACCTAACAATTGCCAATTCCAAAAGATACACCTGACCTTCCTGTCTCTCCACCTACCCAGAGCTCTGGAAGTTCTTCCTTACAACTCCTTTATCCTTCACATGCTATTATTTTCATCTACCATCCCTGGAGATAGAGAGTAGCTGTCATCACCTATGAGGTACATGAGAAAGTGAGTAGCAGAGATTTGGGCTTTTCAGTATTAAAGACCTCCTGGACCTCATTCAAGTCTAAGGTCTGCCACCGATTTGCTATGACCTTGAAATCTTACCCTCTCTGAGATTGAGTTTTCTCTTCCGTCAATGTGAATATTAATATTTATTCAGCTTATTTCATTGAGGATCAAAATCCAAATGAGTTAATGTAAATGAAATTTTATATAAACTAATGGCAATAATCGTGAAAGGGGATTTTCCCCCATATTAGAGCAGTGATGAAGGTAGGAATACACTAACTGGAGGGAGGGGAGGATCTGCTGTGATCCAAGGCAAAGCCATGAGCAAAGTAAACATGGGCTCATTCAGGGAATTTGACATTCTTGAGAGTGAAAATGGGGATCACTGAGTGAAGATTTTTAAAGACAAGCAAACAAAGATAGAGATGCATTATAAAATTTGAAATATTTTCTATGAAGGTTAACAGACACAACATAATACTAAGGTAATCAGGAAAGGTCCCTCTGACCTTTGAGGAGGTAATATTAAGGCTGGGAAGGATTCTAGGACCCCAGCTCTTTGAAGGGCTGAGGTTGTAGGGAGCTGTGCTGAAGGAGATATGATTGCCATGCTGTGATGGATGGGAAAGGAGCCAAGGAAGAAGGCAGGAAGCCAGGGCCAGAAGGTGCAGGACCCCAGAGGTTATAACAATCAGGGATCTGAACAGTGGTCTAAAAGCAGTCGGAAACAAGCAAAAGATTAAAGGTGAATGGGACATGATATGATTTACGCAATGGAAAGATAACTCTGTCGTTGCAAAACGGACTCCTTGGAGGCAAGAGCATGAGCTGTGAGCTATGAAACTAGTTGGAGGCTACTCAGAATAGGTGACAGTGAACTTAAATACTGTGGTTCCAGAGAAGCAGATTTAAGATACACGTTAGAAGCAGAATCTTTAACAGTAATTGGTGACTTGGATATGGAAGGTGAGAGAAAGAAAGAAATCACGGAGGAACCCCAAATATAGAGCTTATTACCTAGAGGTGATGCCATTTACTAAGGTAGTTAGATGGCATCATTTACTAACTATCTTACTATCTTTACTAACTGTCTTACTATCAGTTCAGAAAATCTTCTAATAATAATTTATTGAGTATTTAATAGGTGCTGGGAAGTTCTTTTCATGCAATATCCCATTTAATCCACAAAATAATGTTAATTAGACATTGCTATTCTAATTTCAAAGAAGACACTGTGGTTTAGATAGATTAAATAATATTTCCAAGTTAGACAGTGATAAAATCAGAATCATAAAGCCCAGGTCCGACTACAAAGGCATGTCCTTAACCACTAGAGTGAAACACACTGATGAAGAATATCACATTTTGGACTTACCAATGTATTTTACATTTAAAATTCCTGACTATTTTAGGAAGTGTTCTTTAATCCTGCTGAAATTTTATTATAAGCTGAGACTATTAGAGATGAACCCAAATGTTAAAAAGAAAGCAACATGATACAAGTACATATTCAATCAGACACACATAACAGAAATGAATGTATAGAAATGCTTGGTAAATGTATCTGAGAATAATGATTGGATATGTTTTGAAATATAAATTAGGAGGAGGAAAAGGCATTTTTGGCAGATGAATCAGAGTGAACAAAGGCACGGAGATCTGAAACAGTTTGAAATTTTCAGGAACTCAACTCATAATTGCTGCGTGAGTGGGCAAGTTGTGAGTGAGTGAATGAGCAGAAAAGAGATGGATGGAAAGAGAAAGAGAGAGACTCTGTTGTCACGGACCAGATCATGGAATAGTGAGGCATTTAAGAATTATCCTGAAGTATAGACAATAAGTAATCACTGTTTGTCAGCAGGATGACAACATCCTCTTATTATATTCTTGTTTTTGATGTGGGAGGATGGGTTAGGATGGGACAAGGTTGCCAAACCAGAGATTCATAGACCCGTTAGAAAGCACCCTCATAGCATACACTTAAAGATACACACAAAGAAGAGAAAAATCATTCTAGCTTATAACATTTGTCAAAGAAACAAAGATGGACATATTTAGCTATACTTGTTCACAAGTTACATAAGTTTTCACTTCTAGAGGAAGCTCTACAAGAAAAACAAAGAATTCCTTATTTCTCATTAACTGAATGAAGGTGCACTGGCACTAATTATTGCATACTGGTATTTTTATGTATCACCTTACTGCAAAATATGTACAGCCTTTTTACTTATAATAGTTTTTACTCCATTAAGCATACTCAAACATGTTACCCCTCATAGCAGATTTACCACTGGTCTAGAATCAAACATCTTTGTTTCTTATGTCTGCTGCTATGCACTTTTCCCCAACTTTGTCAGGGTTCTATACATACGTAGGTTCCAAGTAATTTGAATTTGATGAACATTTAACCTCCGCCCCTGCCAAGATAGCAGCAGTTTTTGTAGCCACCACCAGAAACAAGTTGCCAGGAAGATGTGGTGGTTGCAGCACAGGGATATCAGGTCATCGGGTCAATGGTAGGGATCTAAAGTTTGGGATCATAATCTGGGGCACTAATTTTTGATCCCACACAGAGAGATGTCTCCAAAGTGGCAAGAGGAGCCTGCTCCCTCAGCTCACTGCATAACTGGCTGCACTTAGATTTCAGGAGACAAGAATATTATCCGGACCGATTGCTAGGAATTGAGAGTGGATAGAACAGAGAGGCATTAAACATTTTAGAGTTTAAATGTTGCTGCGCTGTAGGAGCCTGAAACAGGGCTGCCTGCATAGTGAGAAAGTAATGCTCTGAGAGGGAGCACTTACCTTGGCACAGCAGCCTCTGATAGGATGAAATGTGAAAACAAAGCCTTCACCAATTCTAAAATAGGAAGATGCAGAAGAAAAAGATTCAGGTATTGAATAGATGTGAGGAACCCACTTTCTAAACCTAGAAAGAGTGACTGGGTACAGATTGCCCCACTGCTTTCAAGCTGAAAGCCAGGATAAGATGACAGGAGAGCCCTAGGCACTAGGACCACATCTGCATCTGATGTGGCACGAGGCTGCTTCGTCCAGCACCCTGGGACTAGGGTGCCCATCACCTTCCTGGTGAACATGGCAGTGATTTTAGGCACACTGAGCTGTGAAGACCTTTGGATTCTGAGGGCTTTATAGAGTACCAAGACTTTCCCTACATATCTGCCAAGACCCAAGAGAAAAGAACCTTGACAATGGCAGTTCAGTTCTCTTGTGGGATCCAAGAGAAATTTCCATTTGCCCATTGTGGTGATCTTAATTGTTTTATATGTTATTAGTTCCATAGGAAAAAAAGGTCCACTTATGACCACGCACTTTGGAAAGAACCATATTTTTTGACAGATGAAGAGAAAAATGTACTGCAGTGAAATCTCTATATACAGACTTTCGAATATTCTTCCATCTTTGGCTTACTTGAAACAGGATGATCATGCAAGTGCTCCAAATGTGATATTGATGCCCAAAGGAGACTGATATTAGTACATTTTAGTACAAGTTTAAATGACAGTTTTTGTTTTAGATACTTATGTCAACTTGTTCACTAAGTAAATTTATCCTGATGGAATTATTGTCACTTTGTCAGCTGCCCATGGGTACCATTTGACCAATAGTTCACATTCTGGTACAAAGCTCTAGTGTACTAAAAATCACTTCTTCTGTAGCCGGCAGAACTCTTAAGTTGCCCTCTCACAAAGAAAAGCTATCAGATTCACTGTGATTTGATGCAATGGTAGATGAATATATTAAAAGTTATAAACAGTTCAGTGTGGAGAGCCACACATGTTTATGGTAATTAAGCAAGCAGCCTTCAGTACAATTTCTCTTACAGGACTGAAGTATGAAAACCAAGTAGTAGCAAATAAAAGTAAGGCATCTCTTTCAAGTCTCTGGCCTTGATTTATCTCCAAGTCTCAGAAAAACTGACTTCTCTAAAATGTATTATTTTATATTAACCACAATTTTTCAACATGGTTTTAAGCTGCTGTGATATGGTTGTCACTGAGGGGGACCACATTTCTCCTCCAAAGATAGAAAATGTCCATCTACTGTGAGAAGATTCTGTGAGTTACTGTGACAATCATTTTTGACTCCTGGAGTCAACATTTTATACAAGCAATTCTAGAATGGAGATATTTAGCAGATAAACATTGGCTGTATTCTGGGACATGTTGACACGATCTTATCCTAGAATTCAGCTGTACAGGCTTTCCTTGGAGTTTTTTTTTTTTCCTATACCAATTGGTTTCAGGTTGAAGTCTTCTGCAGATTCCTGTTCAATACATACGGGAGGCAATAGGGAAACTCCAAGAACCTGTGTGTTGTGCCTGAGGTCCCTTGGCTATCTGCCTTCTTCTTTCGGAGTCCACGTATATTTGTTGTTATGTCCACTTTTTTTGTTGTTGTTTGTTTTTATTATAAGGAGCATTTTATTCTTTATTATTGTTCTCTGTTGGGGTTGACACTAGTTCTGTTTGGGGCACACCTCCACACTTTGGCCATTACAACTCGGTTTTAGCTGTCAATTGTTATTGGGCAGACCCTGAAGGTCATTCAGAGGTGAAATCTTAGGGCCTTCTCAGGCCTTTTCTGAGCATGCATTCTGCTCTGGATATACACCTGGCTTTCTTTGTTTTCTGGCATACACCTGAGTTATAAAAAAATCCCTTATTTTCCAATGTACCTTCTTCCCCAACCTATTTTCTTCCCAATCTTTTCTGTCTGTTGCTTGTTACCACTTTTATCCCTAGACCAAGACTGCTGCAACCAATGCTTTTGCTTTTAACTGCATTCAGCAAATGGTACCTAGGAAGCTACCCCAGCCCTGGGAAAACTTCCATTCAAGAAACACAAAGGTAAGCCCTTTAGTTGGCTTCCAAATGGTTAGAAAATTGTAACCAGTTTTCTTTGAGAATAAGGTTCATATTGCTCTTTCTCACGCACATTGTTAAATCTGTGCCAGAAGTGTGGGTTGTTATCTTCACAGCTGACACCAATCTGGGAAGTGAGCGAGGATAGGTGGGTAGTTTAAATGCCCAAAACTCTGTTACTGCAATGTGGCAGCTTCTGTTTTCATTAATCTTCCATTGTTTGTTTTAAACTTTTGGCTAGAATCCATAGTTAAACAAAAGCTAATTCTGACAGTTTTTGCCATCTTATTAGTTGTTTTTTGTTTTTTGTTTTGTTTTGTTTAAGACAGAGTCTTGTTCTGTTGCCCAGGCTGGAGTGCAGTGGTGCAATCTCCACTCACTGCAAACTCCGCCTCCCAGGTTCAAGTGATTCTCCTGCCTCAGCCTCCTGAGTAGCTGGGATTACAGGCACCGCACCACCATGGTGGCTACTTTTTGTATTTTTAGTAGAGACAGAGTTTCACCATGTTGGTCAGGCTGGACTCTAACTCCTGACCTCATGATCCACCTGCCTCGGCCTCGCAAAGTCCTGGGATTACAGGCATGAGCCACCATGCCCGGCCTTGTTAGTTGTTTTTATGGAGCTATGAAGAAATGGAATTCCTTACTTCATTTTTTTAATGGTGTGTTTTTTATACTTATATGTATATGTGTGTGTGTGTGTATATATTTACTTTATATATTGTCTTTGCCACTTGCAACCTTGCCAAACTCCTTTATGTCTACAAGCTTTATCGTAGAGTCTTTATGTTTTATGTATATAATAACATTGCCTGAAGTTTAAAATTGTTTTATTTTGTTTCTTTCTCATTTGTATCCCTATTATTTATTTTTTCCTGACCTTATGATTTTGGCTAGGACTCTCAGTTGAAGAGAAATGATGAGTATAAACATACAGGTCATTTTTTCAATGTTAGAGGAAAATTAATCTTTCATAATGTTAGCTGTTGTTAGCTGCAAGTTATTCATTAGACACCATCCTTGGTTAAGAAGTATCTTCTATAACTAGTCTTTTACAGTCCTTGTCATTAATGAGTATTGAATTATATTTACTGTCTTTTCTGCATCTATTAAGATGATGAATTGGTTTTTCCTTTTAGTCTGTTGATAAATGAAATAACATTGATTAGAATTAGTTTTGGATGTTGAATCAACATTGCATTTCCTGCATAAACTCCCCATGGTCACAATCTATTATATTTTTGTAACTTGATGGACTTGATTGGCTAACATTTTATTAAGAATGGTTGTGTGTCCATGAAGGTTATTGGACTCTTTTGTTTTTGTTTGTTTGTTTTGAGACAGGGTCTTGCTCTGTTCCCAGGCTGAAGTGCAGTGACACAATCATGGCTCACTGCAGCCTCAAACTCCCAGGCTCAAGTGATCCGCCCTGTAGGGAAAAGAAAGAGAGATCAGACTGTTACTGTGTCTATGTAGAAAGGGAAGACATAAGAAATTCCATTTTGACCTGTACCCTGAACAATTGCTTTGCCCTGAGATGCTGTTAATCTGTAACTTTGCCCTAACCTCTTTACCCTAGCCTCTTTGCCCCAACATTGAGCTCACTAAAACATGTGTTGTACGGAATAAAGGTTTAAGGGATCTAGGGCTGTGCAGGATGTGCCTTGTTAACAAAATGTTTGCAAGCAGTATGCTTGGTAAAAGTCATCGCCATTCTCTAGTCTCGATAAACCAGGGGCACAGTGCACTGCGGAAAGCCACAGGGACCTCTGCCCTGGAAAGCCAGGTATTGTCCAAAGTTTCTGCCCATGTGATAGTCTGAAATATGGCCTCGTGGGATGAGAAAGACCTGACCGTCCCCCAGCTCGACACCCATGAAGGGTCTGTGCTGAGGAGGATTAGTAAAAGAGGAAAGCCTCTTGTAGTTGAGATAGAGGAAGGCCACTGCCTCCTGCCTGCCCCTGGGAACTGAATGTCTCGGTATAAAACCCGATTGTACATTTGTTCAGTTCTGATATAGGAGAAAACCCACCCTATGGCAGGAGACGAGACATGTTGGCAGCAATGCTGCTTTGTTATTCTTTACTCCACTGAGATGTTTGGACGGAGAGAAACATAAATCTGGCCAACGTGTACATCCAGGCATAGTACCTCCCCTTGAACTTAATTGTGAAGCAGATTCCTTTGCTCACATGTTTTCTTGCTGACCTTCTCTCTATTATCACCCTGCTCTCCTACTGCATTCCTCCTGCTGAGATAGTGAAAATAATAATCAATAAAAACTGAGGGAACTCAGAGACCGGTGCTGAGGGAACAGAGGGCCGGTCTCCTGGGCCCACTGTTGTTTCTCTATAGTTTGTCTCTGTGTCTTATCTCTTTTCTCAGTCTCTCATCCCACCTGCTGAGATATACCCACAGGTGTGGAGGGGCAGGCCACCCCTTCACCCCCCATCTCAGCCTCCTGAGTAGCTGAAACTACAGGTGCACCCCACCACACTTGGCTAACTTTTTTGTATTTTTGTAGAGATGGGGTTTGCCATGTTGCCCAGGCTGGTCTTGAACTCCTGGGCTCAAGCATCTGCCTACTTTGGTCTCACAAAATGTTGGGATTACAGGTGTGAGCCGCTGTGGCCAGCCTCTTTTCTTATATATTTGGTTTTGTTATCAGGTAAATCTGGGTTCATAAAATAATAGTCAGTATTCTTTTCTATTTTCTGAAAGACTTGTGTAGAAGTAGCACTATATTATCTTTTTATATGTGGTAGAATTCATTAGTGGAGGCATCTGGACCTGGATTTTTCCACAAGGAAGATTTTTAACCATAAAATCAATTGCCGGCCGGGCGCGGTGGCTCACGCCTGTAATCCCAGCACTTTGGGAGGCCGAGGCGGGCGGATCACGAGGTCAGGAGATCGAGACCACGGTGAAACCCCGTCTCTACTAAAAATACAAAAAATTAGCCGGGCGCAGTGGCGGGCGCCTGTAGTCCCAGCTACTCGGGAGGCTGAGGCAGGAGAATGGCGTGAACCCGGAAGGCGGAGCTTGCAGTGAGCGGAGATCGCGCCACAGCACTCCCGCCTGGGCGACAGAACGAGACTCCGTCTCAAAAAAAAAAAAAAAAATCAATTGCCTTCATAGATAGGGAGTCAGGCTACCTATTTTCTCTTATGTGGGCTTTGGCAGCTTTTGATTTTTCAGGAATTTAACTATTTCACTCAAGTTCTTTGAATTTTTGGTATAAAGCTATTAAACTATTACCTTAGTGTTGTTTCTAATGTCTGCAGGATCTGTAGAGATGTGTTCTCTTTAATTGTATGTGTCTTTATTTGTGTTTTCTCTCTTTGTTTTGATCAGTCTGACTACGGATTTTTCAACGTTATTGATCTTTTCAAAGCTTGCTTTTGATTTCATTGAACTTCTCTACTATTTTTCTGTTTTTCTGCATCATTTTATATTTTATTTTGTTTCTTCTGCATCTTCTGTCTTTAGTTTTATCTTTTCAGTCTAGTTTCATAAGGTAAAACTCTGAGTCATTGATTTGAGACACTTCTAACAAAAGCGTTTAGTGCTTCACATTTTTCTCTAGGCTCTGTTTTTTGTTCAATTTGAAATATGTTTTCTAATTTTCTTTGTGATTTCCTTGACTTATTGATTAGTTAGAAGTATAGAGTTTAATTTTCATACATTTGGGGATTTTTCCAGAGGTTTTGGTTTATTCCTTATTTCTTATTTAATATCACTTCCTTATTTCTAATTTAATATCATTATGTTAAAAGAAAATATTTGTATAATTTCAATTTCAAATATGTTGACATTTGTAGTCTTCTATTGCTGAGTAGAATTTTATAAAAATGTCAATTAGGTTAATCTAGTTGATGGTGTTGTTCAGGTCGTCCATATTTGCTGACTTTCTTATCGTTTACTTGATCTATCAAATACTGAGAAAATTATGTTAACATCTTCACTAATAATGATGGGTTTGTCTATTCTTTCTGTATTTTTAGTGCTATTATTAAATTGTTAAAATTATTATATTGTCTTGAAAAATCAACTCCCTTATTATACAATATCCTATGTTAATTCTGGTAATATACCTTCTTATGGGAATTTATTAGAAATTATTATAGTCACTCCAGCTTTCTGACATAGTGTTGCATGGTAGATCTTCACTATCTTTTTACATTTAATCAATTTATTATTTTATATTAAAAATGAGTTCATTGATTGTAGAGAGCACACAGTTGGGTCTTTCTATTCAATTCTATATGTTGTTCTCTGCTTTTTAATCATTGTGTTTTAGATTATTTACCTTTACTGCTATTAGAGGATGAAGGTGTATTTAGGTGTACCATTTTGCTATTTGTTTTTTTTGTTGTTGTTGCTTTTGCTTTTGTTTTCTTTTTCTACACTTTTGCCTTTTTATTAATTAATTTTAATAATTTCATCTTATACCTAATATTGGCTTATTAGTTATACCTTTGTTTAAATGTGTTTACTAGTTGCTCTAAATTTTAAAACATAACTTATTTTTATTTTTATTTATTTTTTTTGAAACGCAGTTTTGGTCTTGTCACCCAAGCAGGAGTGCAATGGCGTGATCTCAGCTCACTGCAACCTCCGCCTCCCAAGTTCCAGCAGTTCTTCTGCCTCAGCCTCCTGATTAGCTGGGATTACAGGTGCCCACCACCATGCCAAGCTAATTTTTATATTTTTAGTAGAGACAGGGTTTCGCCATGTTGGCCAGGCTGGTCTCGAACTCCTGACTGCAGGTGATCCACCCACCTCGGACTCCCAAAGTTCTGGGATTACAGGCGCGGGCCACCGTGCCCAGCCTAAAACATAAATATTTAGTCTATCATAGTCCAATTTTAAATAATATTATAGTCCTTTACAAAACATGTAAAAAT
The DNA here is from genome assembly GCF_000001405.40 of Homo sapiens. Taxonomy (NCBI): domain Eukaryota; kingdom Metazoa; phylum Chordata; class Mammalia; order Primates; family Hominidae; genus Homo; species Homo sapiens. The sequence continues at coordinate 143,993,662 of NC_000007.14, read as the reverse complement.
ATTACAACGGTTCACTTCCATTTTTTTCCCTCTCATCTTTGTGCTATGGTTGTTGGCATTTATTTCTAAGTGTGTTATAAACTTCACAATACATTTACTTTTACTCCACAATACAGTTACTACTTTTACTTTATTCAGTCAGTTCTTATTTACAATTAATAAAAATAAATCTTTTTTGCCTTCATTATTTTTGCCATCTCTGGCACTCTTCATTTCTTTTGTAGGTTCAAATTTCCATTTGGTATCACATTTCTTCTTCCTGAAGAACTTTATTTAATATTTCTTGCAGTGTACTCACATGTGATAAAGTACGTCAGTTTTGTTTATCTGAAAAAGTATTCCATGCTTATATTTGAAAGAAATTCTCACTGTGTATAGATTTCTAGATGAGAGTTTTTTTCTTGTCAGCATTTTAAAGGTGCCCTCCTTTGTCTTATGCTGTGCCTCATTTCTGATGATAAATGGGTTGTAATTTTATCTTTGTATGTGTGTATAATATTTCTTTTTCTATACACATCTTCAAGATTTTATTTTGGTATCTGAGTTTTGGCAATTTGAATATGATTTTTTTCTCTATCCTGCTTAGGATTCTCTGAGCTTCTTGAATCTGGGATTTATTTCATTGATTTTGCAAAACTTTTAGCCATGATATCTGAAAATATTTCATTTGCCTTGTTACTCTGTCTTCTTCTTAGACTCAAATTAAACATCTGTTAGATTGTTTTATGTTGTTGTACAGCTTGTTCTATTTTTATCCACTCACTCTTCTCTTTTTATTCCAGTTGGGATAATTTCTGTTTCCATAACCTCATGTTCACTGACTCTTCCCTGTGTGATAGTCTTAACTCCATCAAAGAAATAATCTATTTTTATGTTGTTTTTTTTTGTTTCTAGCATTTCTATTTTACTTTAAGAAACAGTTTTATTGCTCTACTAAAATTTCTCATGTTCTCATGCACATTGCTTATGTTTTCTGCTATATCCTAATTATAGTTAGGGTAAAATTCCTGTTTGATAGATAGATCCAGTCTAGATCATTCCTGGTTCTGATTCTTTTGAATGCTTTCACTTAACAATGAGTAAGTATTTTCTTGCTGCTTTTGAAATATAATTTTTATTAAATGCTGGAAATTGTTGGTAAAAGAACAGTAGAGACTAGGCTATAGAGTATTTATACTTAAAAATGGGGTGCTGGTCCTTCTGTCAGACTATGTGTGTAAGTGGTTGAGGTGTTTTGGGTATTGTTACTATAATTACTTGCAGTGCTCCACAGATTTCAAATTCTTCTGACCATGAAGAATGATGCTTTGTTGAACCTAAATAGGAGATTTTAATCAGTGTTCCTGCTCTACCCAAATTTTACCAAGCGTAGCATTGCCTTTGTAATACAAGGTATCTCCATACTTTGGCTTCTTTCCCGGAAATAGGTGCTGTTGATTTTTTCTTGGTGCAAGGCTTGTGACAGGGGCAAAGATATCCTTGTTTTCCCTGATCCAGCCTCCATCCTAGTCAGCCCCTATAAACCTGAGACTTGGGAAGTGGTGTTCCTACCTCATCTCACCAGTCATGGCAGCCAGACTCTACTTTTTATTTGTGACTGGTCATGGGTGGGAGTTTCTGCCCTTATCCTAGTGGACTCCTAGTAGCAGGGCAGGATCCTAGCTTGAATGGATTTCTACCTCTTCCCTAAGAGCAAACTGCTTTTACTTCTACTTTTCCCTCAGTAGCAACTCACTTTTGTCTGGACAAGTGGCAAGAAGGCTTTCTGACCTTTCTCCAGAGGTAAACAAATGTTGATTTTGTTTGCAAGGCTTATGGTAGGAGCTGAGAGATTTCCCATCCTCCTTCAGGGAAGAAAACATTTTGCTTCTATCTTGGTTCTTTAAAGATAATTTTATTTCTTTCTCTGAATACTTTAAAAAGAAAAATTGTGGTTGAGCGCGTCGGCTCACCCCTGTAATCCCAGCACTTTGGGAGGCTGAGGTGGGTGGATTGCCTGAGGTCAGGAGTTCGAGACCAGTCTGGCCAACATGGTGAAATCCCGTCTCTACTAAAAATACAAAAAAGTTAGCCAGGTGTGGTGGCATGCGCCTGTAATCCCAGCTACTTGGGAGGCTGAGGCAGGGGAATTACTTGAACCAGGGAGATGGAGGTTACAGTTAGCTGAGACTGCGCCACCGTACTCTAGCCTGGGCGGCAGAGTGAGACTCCGTCGCACCAACCCCACAAAAAAATTAAAAAATAAATTATAAATAAATAAAAGAAAAAGAAAAATTGTGTTACCTTTGGTTTGCAGCAGTTTTACTCTGATATACCTAGGTATGTTTCTATTGTATTTTTCCCGTTTGAGATTTGTAACACTTTATGCATCTGTGTTTTGATGACTGTATTAAATTTTTGAAAATGTTTTGCCATTATGTCTTACAAATTTCTTTTTCCCATTATCTTTCTTCTTTCAGTTAGAGTCTGCAATTACAAGTAGGTTAGACCTTTTCATTATGATCCAAATGTTAAACCTTTTTAGCGTATCCCATAAATCACTAATGCTGTTTTAAATTTTTCTTCTTTTTTTATTTCTCCCCTGAATCAGGTTATTTTCTACTGACTTATCTTCTACTTCACAAATCCCCTGCAGTTCTCTCTAGTCTGCTATTGAGACTGTTAATTTTATTTTAAAAAATTAAATTTAAAAACACCATTTGATTCCTTTTAGTAGACTCCAGATTTTTGATAATATTCTCCAACATGGTTTCTCTTTTCTTAAACATGTTAATATGTTAATCAGTTATTTTATAGTTATGTCTGATTGTGTCAATGTCTATATTTCTTTGGAATTGTTTTTACCATGAATCATAAAACTGAAAAATGCCTTAAAACCAATGTTACTGAGTCTAACAGTGGTCAAGAGACTAAGAAAATGGGCAGAACTTATGGTAGACTCAAAGAACTGAGAAAGCAACAGCTACCTTTCTGGGCTCATTAAGGAACAGATCTTTTCTAAACATCTATATGGTCAGCTGGGATTTCTAAAGTATTCTTCTCTGGGAGTAAGAAGAAATTACAAAAATAAAAATGCTTCATAAAGAAGCTCATAGATAATTGCCTGATAGAAGTCAAATAAATCCTCTCTTGAGGAGGATAACATTATGTAGAGCCTCAAATTACTCCTTCAGTTTTCCAAACACAGTGTCCAACACTCAATCAAAAATTACCTGTCATGAAAGATGAGATTCAAACACTGAAAAAGAGATTTTATTTATGTTTTTTTTTTTTTTTTTTTTGCTTAGGAAGCTCTTTAATTTTTCATGGCAGGTAATCTTTGCATAATTCTACATGGCTTCTAAAATCAATATTTTGAATGTGGAGACAATAGGATTTGCTTATTATGGATTGAATATGTAATGAGGAAAATGGAGGAAACAAGAGTATAAAAATTATGATGCCATATATTAAGATAAGAAAGAGGAATATTTTGGTGAGGGGAGTAAAAGTAGAGACTTGCTTGCATATGTGAAAATCTAAATAGAGTTATCAAGTAGGCAGTTGGATACTGGAGCAGCGCTGGATGTGTATAATTTGGGAGTCCTTAGTGTTTACTGATATTATAAAATTAGATGAGATCAACTTGGGTATTAGTGTACTTGGATTTGAGATTGTATTTGAATCCTTAATCATCTAATATATAGACATCTAGAAGAGAATGTGGCTTCTGCACAGGAGTCTGAGAACTTTCTGATGAGGTAACAGGAATTCAAGGAGAATGTGGGATCCACTGTGTCATATGCTGCTAGAGAGGCCGAGTGAGATGAGGACTGAAATTGACCATTGGTTTTAGCAACATGAAAAATTCTAGTGATTTATACACTAGCTATTTTGGACGAATGGTGGGATCAAAATCTTAGTTTAGACTGAGTGTTGCAGGAATCAGGAGGACAAGAGAGACCACGGGGTGAATACCAGAGGATCCTTATTGAGTGCACGCAGACCCAGCAGACTTAACATCCAAAAACTGGGCCAAGAACAAAGACAGCACTTGACTTACATACACACCTTTGAAAGGGAGTGGGCTAGCTTGAAACAAGCGTACAGTAGCATGAAGCGTAAAGGCATGAAAGCAAGGATACAGAGGCAGAACAAAGGCAGTTAATCAAATTGTGACAGGTGCATAACCCAGAATTACACATGACCCTTGATGCACAGCCCAGATGGCTGTTATCTAGGCTTTGCTCTAGCATCTTGCATGGGCTTATCTCATAACCTTCGCTATGACACCCAGGTGGCTGTTGCTCAGGCCTGCTCAAACAGCTCATGACCTTCACTGTACTGCTTAGATAAAACAGAAAATTTGAAGTTACTAGTTGCAGAGAACAGAAATCTATAAACTCATACCATAAGAGAAAAGAAAATTTGTTTTTCTCCTTCCTATGTTGAGGGAGTGCTGGGAGAGTCTCCAGAGCACATTCCTTTGTGTCCTAGTTTCTCAGATAGTGTTTATTGAGGCTTTTCCTGGGTCTGGGCCATGTCTGTTGCTGCCTCTGGGATAAGTCAGCTGAATACAGGAAAGTTTGTTTCTTTTTCTTTTTAATTTTATTTTTTCTTCTTTAATTTCCACCTCATGGGCAGTGATTGAAGGGGAGAACATGGGAATGAAAGGTGCAGTTAGTTCCTTCAGGGAATCTCTATGTAAAGGAGCATAGTGAAATGGGACCATGTCTGTAAGGTGATACATAATGTGATCTATTTTTTTAAATCTAAAAATGATTTATTCTCAAGTGGTAGGTGTGATGTGGTCTTAAGGAGGTTCATTTTTCCTTCAGATGGCAAAGGCATATGAAATTTGTGCTTATGGAAATGATGCAGGAGAAAATGAAAAATTTATGATTTAAATAATTCAGGTAAAAATACATTCAGGTTTTGTGGGGTATGAAACAGATAATTTACGAGGTACCCTTTAGGGAAAGGAACATAAAATAATAAACAAAGATTGTATGAAAATAAACATTTATTTAGAGTGTAAAATGATGGATAACTAAGTTTTATAAGGTAGAAAATACCTTAAACATCAAAAGTTTATAAAAATAAAATATTTTTATCTATTAGATGTCTGACACAACTCTCTAAATCTCTGCTCCCTATGTTTTGGCTACCTATTATTTGATCACATTTTCATGACAATAACTTTGTAATATCACTTTCGGGTTGATTTTGGAATCACAGGAGGTGAGTAATTTGCTCAGATGTGTAAGCCAAATGGAGATAAAAACCAAGACGAAGAAAGACCACCTGTAAAGTATGAACTTCCTGCTGAGTTCAAATAAACAGGGTTGTGATGCAGGAAGAAATTGTTTAGGATGGCCTCCTAGAGGGAAGTGCTTAATCAGACCTAATTAAAACTTACTTGTTGATGCTGGGCTCCATCCAAGTCCTCATCCCCTGTGGGTGGCAGCTTCATTTTTAAGTTATCACTTTGGCTTTTATTTCTTTCCTTTCAACAGAGAGAAATGTACAGCTTTTTATTTTTCCATAAAAGAAGTTTATTTGGAAAAGTCAGCCTCTTACACAAGGTTTTGTATCTAATATGTTCATTCTGTCAATTAAATGCATTGAATATAAGAAATATTTAGTTTTTGTTTTGGTCCACCCCCTCTTTTATCCTGATGTAGAATCTACTTCTACTTCTCTACTTTTCAGGTCAGTGAAATGGGTCACATAATTTTTAGCTTTGTGTGGAGAGTAAGTATGTGTCCAATAATTCTAAGTATACCATGATTTTCTTTAAGGCCTTCTCAGAAAAAAGAAAAAAAAATAGTCATTAAAACTAGGCACACTTAGCAATTTCTCTCATAACCTTATCCTTATCTGCTTGCTTGGTGCCACATTTTTCTGGCCCTCTTTAATTTGCAAAGATTCAAACTAAAAGTGAAAGTAAGCAAAACAAAACAAGAAAAACCCCACCAAACACACAGAGAGTATATCTCACACACAGCACTAAGCTAGAATCAGATATAAATGAGACCTCTGTGAATCAAAGGAGAAAACTTTCACAAAAAAGATCCAATAGTCTCATGATTTAACCAAGGCTTTGGGAAAACCTAAACTGAATTCAACTGATGTTTGAAATATGTCTACATTTAATTGGATGTGCTGTATTTACTAAGAAGTCACAAATACATAGTTTTGAAATTTTTAATACTAACCTTTACAGTGAGAAAAATAATACCAAGTGATTTGAGCAGGGGCAATAATTTATAACCATTCAAAATCTGTCTTTAAACAGGGGAGCAAAGTAGTATTTTAATAAAAACAACCCTTAAGTACTTATTTGACTTCTAATAAGTATCCCAAGAAATGGTACCCAAGAAGTGTCGACAAGTACAATCTGGCTAGAACAGCCAAGATGCTTCCAAAGTTTTATGCTTCAAATTTCCTAAATATATAGATAGCAGAACCATATGCCAGAAAAACTACTGATGCTGGAAAAACATATTCATCAGCATTTTATAAAATCTCCAACTTTCAACCAACGTTTCTATTCATAAATCTTCCAGTGACCATATCTGACAATACATTACAAATGCCAAAGAAGCAAGATTACTTTTAAATTTTAAATTCATCTCAAGTTAGTTATGGTTTTTCTTTTTAACACAACACTCAAAATACATGAATTCAGCAGAATTATTTTAAAAGTTCTCTGAAGATTTCTAAAGACTAAACTGTAAGGCACATGTTAAAATCTTCATGACACTGTTAAAAGCTAAGATTAAAACAAAACCTACTTCCTTCCCTCATCCTTTACCATCAACCACCCCCTCCCCAAAGCATATGGCATTTTAAATTTAAGCTATTGGTAAGGAGTGAAACAAAAATTCCATCAATGAACACCTGGTATGGTTTCCACACAAATGTCTGTTATCTGCATTGAGCACCACTGGTAGATCCCAGGCCAGGAGAATATTTTCAGATATCTTGGGTCATGAACTGCTCCATTTACCCTTTAGCTGAATGGGTACAGCCTGGACTCTCCTCTTCACTGGGGCCATCTTCTGTACCTTTCTAGTTAGGGGAGTCCTCTTCTTTAGTAACTACTTTGGACTTCTCAGTAACATCTATGCTGTTCTTCTCTTTTTACTTTCCTTTTCCTGTTTCTCTTCTGCTTTCTATTCTTTTACCAAAAGTTGATAATTGATACCTATCACCTAACAATGAAGAGCTAGACACCTGCAATAATTAAGATTATGCCATATGCCCATATGTCTATTTGTAATTTCAATAAGTCATTGAGATTACCTAAAAATGGTGGCCCCAGGGGGACACAGCAGCATCCCACACAGCAGCATCCCACAATGGTAAACCAAACCCACAGTGCTGGAGGACCTCTGGGTCCAATGAGGTCCATCAGTATTTCAAACAATATGGAACTGAGCCACTAAGGTAAATCCAAAGAATCCCACAGAGACACAGAACTCAATATAGCTGGTGGATAAAGGTGCTAGCAAATGGCACATTCCGTTCATGATAATGGAAGCAGCAAAGAAATACTGAACTTGAGAACTTGAGGCCTTATCTGCTTTGTGTTGGCTGCAAGTCCCATAGAAGGCCTTGCTGTGTGTCAACAAAAGCCAGAAGGGAAAGAAGGAAGGCAGACTTCTCCTGGAGTGATACTGACTCTTGCCATCATTACTGAGAAAGGCCAAAGGTGTAAAGAGTCCAGAAAAATGTGAGCACATTTCCAGAGAGGTACAGCAAAAAAAATCTCTCTGAGTAAACAGGGATGAGTACAAGAATGTATTAATTGTTTGGAAGATTAATCATTTCCCTTCTTTTGGGTGTCCTCCAATAAGATCTGTATTGTATCACCTGCACCTTTTTTGCATCTGATTTTTCAGCTTCCTGAAGGAATTCTTTAGACCTCTTTCCCTGCCTTTGTTGGCTTGGACCTTATTGGTCACATCGGGTCTCCAGCTACGCAGCAGTTTAGCAGGGAAGCCCCCAAGAATTAGGAAGCTTCCTCTCCATCCGTAGATACCAAAGAAAGCCTTACTGAGGAGGCCAGCATAGAGAGGCTGCCTGCCATGGCCAGTCTGTTGGCCAATGGTCACTTCCTATAGAAATGCTTGCCAATCATGGTCAGAGCTAGGTTCAAGTTAAAGGAAAGCCCAAGACCTCCAATGATTCCTATACACAAGTAAAGTTCCTGTATAATGCTACAGAAAGAAGCCACAATCAAGCTACAGCCTGACAAGCAACACCAACAATCATGACTGAACAACTGCCAAATTATTCACCAGGATACTGCTGATGAGACCTCCACCATACATGACAGGCAGCATGATGGAGCATATCTGTGACACTTTGCTGGTGGTGGCATGGAGTATACCTTCCATCTCTTTGAAGAAGACAGTAATATATTTGAGAAATGCTAAGAGAAGTTGATGGAAATGAAAGCTTCCACTACGACTGCCCACCCCCAACATCTGTCTGAAGGGGTGTATCCAACTGAACTTCCAACTGCTGGTGGCATTTTAAGTGTAGAAAAATTCCAGCTTGCAGCACTGAGCATAGGAGTGAGGCAGTGGCAGGGGCTGGAGTTCTGCAGAGCCCAGAGTGACGCTCACATCCTTCTCTTGCTGCCTCATTGGCTGGTTCAAGTACCCACGTGGCCAGTTAGTCAAGTCGCAGCTTGCCACTTTTTCTGGTTGAGCTGGAGTGGCTGCCTTGTCAATTTGCAGTCTTTTTAAAAACGCAATTATCTACTCAAAAGGCTTTAGTTTGCTACCTATCCTATCACAACTTAACTTTCATGCCTCCCAGCATTTTATTTTAAGCCATCCTAAGTTGTTCCTACCATTTTTTTTTTTGAGACGGATTATTGCTCTGTCTCCCAAGCTGGAGTGCAATGGCGTAATCTCGTCTTACTGCAATCTCTGCCTCCAGGGTTCAAGTGATTCTCCTGCCTCAGCCTCCCAAGTAGCTGGAATTACAGGCAACTGCCACCGCGCCCAGCTAATTTTTAGTGGAGACGGGGTTTCACCATGTTTGCCAGGCTCATCTCAAACTCCTGATCTCAGTTGATCCACCCACCTCGGCCTCCCAAAGTGCTGGGATTATAGGTGTGAGCCACCGCATCTGGCCTACATTTTTGTTAGAGTTTTTACAGTCTTCATGAAGGGTATATGGGTAATAATTTTATTGAACTTTTGCATATGGAATTGTATATATCTATAGCCTTTAAAAATGAATGATGGCTTAACTAGGTATGCAACTTTTATTTAACAATATGTTCACTCAGGATTCTATAGAAAGATGTTATTGTCCCTGTCATCTAATATTTCAAAGACCGATTCTAGCTGTCATAGGCTGAATTCCAACCTGGCCCGCAAGAGTCTCACTTCTTGGTGTACATGTCCTGTACAATACTCTCCCCTTCAATATGAGCAGGACTTGTGACATATGATGGGATTTCACCCCTGTGATAATGTTACACTACATGGAAAAACAGAATTCGAAGATGTAATTAATCAGCTGAATTGGATTTACACAAAAGGGAGATTATCCTGAGTGAGCCTGACCTAATCAGGTGAGAACTTCAAAAGTGTCCAGACTTTCTTAGCCATCAGAGAGATTTGACACAATAGAGATTCTCCTGTCATTCTTGACGAAGCAAGCTGCCATGTCGTGAGAGGAGTGGGCCATGGGTTAAGGACTTGAGGGTGGCCTCCAGGAGCTTAGAGGAGCCACCAGCCAGCAACAAACAAGATAATGGGTACCTCAGTCACACACATGCAAGAAAATGAATTCTTCCAATGACTGGTGAGTTTGAGAGAGGACTCTGAGTCCCAGATGAGATCACAACCCCAGCTGATACCTTGATTTGAGCCTTGTGAGACCCTGAGTTCAGAACTTGGCTATGCTTCTCACCAGCAGGAATGTTAAGATAAAAAATTTGTGTTCTTTTAAACTTATAAATTTATTACAATTTGTTACACAGCACTAGAAAATTAATGCACTTGCTTAACATTTTTCTAAGTGACTTTTCTGTTTTGTTTGTTTTCTGAATCTTTATTATCCTTTCATTATACTTGAAATTCAGTCATTTTTACCAATATATCCATAAATACTTTTACTTTTCTTTAATTTTCAGGTACATGGCAAGGCTCTTTCATCTAAATAACAAATTCTTCCTTTATTTAAATGACATTTTTATAAATTATAGTTAAACGTAAAAAATATTTTTATTCAGTCTTTTCATCAGAAATACTAATTATCCATATGTTGTTTCTTTTTTGTCTGTATCAGTTATCTTCTTTTGGATTCCAAACAACAGATTAACTTTTCTATATTATTAATTTTTGCTGTTTACTGCTTTAATGTCCTTTTAAAATCTGAAATAGTTTGTGTGTGTGTGTGTGTGTCCCTACTTTACCTGGAATCCTTAGCTCCTTTTGTATCTCATTCTGCTGTCCTATCACCTCGTCTTTCATTGACCTGATGTGTTTAATTTTCTTGCAAGTACTATGGTCACAAATTATTAGATCTATCAACATTTATTCTCCTCTTCCTTCTTAATATCAGAAGCTCTGATTGTGTTTTAGGCACATGATTACTAACAGTAACACTTATCACCTTTGAGTATGTATGTGGCCAAGTAACTAAGTTTAACTTTGCCAGCAGAATTTGTGCAACAATTTTTTTTGTGTGAGTTTTTTAAAAGGTCTCTAAAGGAAGTGGGTATGCTCCTTCCTCTCTTCTTTATTTTTATGTATTTATTTATTTTTTGAGACAGGGTCTCACTCTGTCACCCAGGCTGGAGTACAGTGGCATGATCTCAGCTGACTGCAACCTCTGCCTCCCGGGTTCAAGCAATTCTCCCACCTCAACCTTCCAAGTAGCTGGGACTACAGGCATGCACCACCATGCCCGGCTAATTTTTGTATTTTTAGTAGAGACAGGGTTTCACCATGTTGGCCAGGTTGGTCTGAAACTCCTGGTCTCAAGTGATTTTTCCCGCCGCCTTGGCCTTCCAAAGTGCTGGGATTACAGGCATGAGCCACCCCACCTGGCCTCTTCTTTATTTTTGATGGACAGCATGTGAATGTGTTGGCTGAAATTCAAGCCATTTCTTGAACTATGAGGTAGAAGTTATATGCCTAGAATAGTGCATTAGAAACAGAAGAAGCCTCAATTCCTATAACTTTAAGTTAGGCAGGCTTACCTTGCCTAAATCTAAATTAATGTCTATTTTATTTAAACCATGATTTCTCAATATTTTCTGCCTCTCACAATCTGACTGTACTGAAATAAATGCATTAATAAGTGTTTATTAATAAGTGTGGCATATCCTTATGTTTGTTTCATGAGGAAATTATTCCCATTAAAAGTGGCTTCCATTCGGGAAGCTAGGTACAATTTTCTTATCTAACAAAAAAGAAAACTAAGGCATATATTATTGAAATAACTTGCCAGAGAGCACAGGCAGTGAGAGACAGAACAAGGATCAGGAGTCAGGTCTGCTTGATAATGGGGACCATTCCTTTATGCACTGACAAACTGATAAAACCAAAAGTGGGCAGGTGAAGCCCCCAAGTCACTGGATATCTGAGAGAAGATGTCTACAAAGAAGCCATATTATCGATCCCTAACATGTATATCTTCAGATATTGGCCTATATAAAACAAATTAAGCATTTGGAGGAACACTTGGTTCAAATGCAAGGATTTGACCGTAATAGTCTTCTTTTAGTGTAAGTGTGGGAGTCCTGTCTACAATTATCTTATCTCCTTTTTGGTTTTGATGATAGATAACAAGAGGTTCTTAGAGTCTTGACCCTTTATCTGCATCTTTCTAAAACTTTCCGGACAGCAGCCGTAACTTCCTTATTCCTCAAGCTGTAGATCAAGGGGTTCAACATGGGTGACACCACTCCATAGAAGAGAGCAATCATCTTCTCTTCCTCTGCTGAGGAGGCCAACTGTGGCCCCAGGTAGGTGCAGATGGTAGCCCCAAAGCACATGCAAACCACAATGAGGTGAGAGGCACAGGTCCCAAAGGCTTTGCAGCGTACCTGGGTAGAACGAATGCACAAAATGGTGGCAACTATGCAAGCATAGGAGAATAGAACCAGGGAACAGGGAAGCAAGATCACCAGAAACCCTGAGATGGCCACCATGACCTTGTTGAAGGGGACATCCACACAGGCTAGCTGTAGCACTGCTAAGGTCTCACAGACAAAGTGATTGATAACACCGTGACACAGGAAGCTGGAAGGTGATAATTGTTTCCATCAGGGAATTTGAGAAGCCAGCCACCAGGCGGCTGGCCGCCAGCCCCAGGCACAGCCCTCCATGCATGATGACCGTGTAGTGCAGTGGGTGGCACACGGCCACGTAGCGGTCATAGGCCATGGCCCCCAGCAGGAAGAACTCAGACCCACACAATGCCAGAGAAACATAGAGCTGGAGCACACAACTGTAGAATGGGATGGACTTTCGGGCTGAGAGCAAGTGGGACAGCATTTGTGGGACAATACTCTTTGTATAACAAAAGTCCACAAATGACAGAACACTAAGGGAGAAGTACATGGGGGTATGAAGCCTGTTGTCCAGTCTGATCAGAAGAAGAATGAGGGTGTTTCCTAAAATAGTCACCAAATACATGGCCAGGATCAGGGCGAAGAGGGATACCTGAATGCCCCAATCACTGGAAATCCCCAGCAGAATGAACTCACTCACCCATGTCTGGTTTTTATTTTCCTGACCCATGAGCTTCCAAGGACCACACTAAAGATGTAGAAATAACCAGTCATGGAAATGAAGGATTAGAAGATGATTCGTAGGGCATATGGAGAACCCACCCATCTGAACATAAAGTCCACCTAGAATGTCTCAGCCAAATCACCATCCAAACTCTGCTTGAACAATGCATCCAGGCATGAGGACCACAGTGGGACCCAGCTGTGCAGGGAAATCAAGGAAAAAAGAAGTTACATTCTTAAAATTCAGTTTATTGGAATATAATTTCTTCTCCCAAACATCTGCTCTTAAATAGGGGAAGGAAATTAATGCAGTATTTAGACTTAAAGTCTTATTCAGTTTAGTAGTTTTTACAGAAGAAATGAGAAAGTTTTTTTATCCATATGAAATATATGTCTGAGTTCTGACTGCTGTTCACCACCATCTAACTTCTTTTTGTTTATTGGGTTTTTCCTCTGGACATCTCAGACACAACTCTACTCACCTCTCCTCAGTGGAATGCATCCATGAGATCTTGAACATTTTGAATAGTCTTCATAGACATTTTATAACTGAACAATTTTGAGTTTGTTTTCTGTAATTTGCCCTTTTGCCTTTAGAGTGTCAAGTGGAAATGCTTCCTCCCTGCCTATCTCATGCAAGGGGCCCAGTAAGCCAAGACCAACACAAGGTGGCCAACTTCCAGGGATCAGGTGTTGCACGAAGATAAGATATACAAAATTGCTAAAATTAATCTCTTATCCCCCACAAGGTGAACTTAATGAAGTGGTTAGTGACGTCAGATTATTACTCAATATTGATGTTTTCTCAGGGATAGGATAGTTTATTCATTTCTTGTAGAAAATGGATCAGTTCTCACCAGTGAAGATAGAAAGATAGAAGATAAGGCTTTAATTCTAGAACATAGTGACATAGGTAGTAGTTTTTTTTTTTTTTTTAAAAAACTACTTTTTTGAGCTTCTGCACAGCAAAGGAAACAATCAATGAAATGAAAAGGCAACCTACAGAATGGGATAAAGTATTTTCAGACCATGTATCTGGTAAGGGATTAATATTCAAAATATACAGGAAATTCCCACAGCTCAGCCCAAAAAAGGTTAAAAATGGGCAAAGGAACTAAATAGATATTTTTCCAAGGAAGACATACAAATGGCCAACAGGTATATGAAAAAATGTTAAGCATCACTAATTACCAGAGAAATGCTAAGAAAAATCACAAGAAGATATCACCTCACATTAGTAGTAGTTCTTTGAACACCAAATCAAAACTTTTTAAATATTTGCTTAGTTACTGAAGGAAGTGATTCATAACCAAAGAATTTAGACAGGGTATGAGGTCTTGGAGAGAATCTTGCAAAAGTACATAAAGGATTTACACCAAAATTTGGTTGGCATTCCAATGGCTCTACCCTAGTCATGATGTAACCATAAGGGACAGCATACCACAGTTGAATTTATTGAAAGGTTCTAGTCTCAGCCTAAAAACTATTGAAATGACTGTCAGAGATCACATGACTTATAACACAGGGGATACGGGTACTTTAAAGTTCATTATTATGCAGACAGCAATATTCAGATGGTTGCTCATAAAATATTCAGGATTTAGTATTGTTTGTTTAATAGGGTCCGAGACACCAAGGAATTTATTAAAAACATAGAGCTTTCAGAAACTGGGTGTCAAATAAAAATTCGTGAAAATGATCACTTAACATGAGGCACCACATTCAATACCTTGCACTGAGAGTTTTCAGTCATCCATCCCAAAATCATCAGACAATTAATGCTCAGCTATAAGACTGGGGAAAAAAATGCACAATGCTTAAAGGTGTAAGGTTGTTCATGGTGTGAAAAGATAAAAGGATTCAAAATATCACAAATAGGTAATTTATAATTAAGAGCAATATTTTGCTCGAATGTTCAGAGTTAACAGATTTTAATCCCCATAACTAAAAATAATAACATTGTTAATTATTTTGTTTCCTTTCTTGTAATTTTCTGTTGTGCTATATCTATTTGTACATCAATTTCTTTTTGTTCTGCCCCATTTTATACTAGCATAAAAAGTATTTGTTCTAGAGACATATGAGTCAGGAAATTTCCTAGTCATGAAAGGCCTGATACAAATATGCACTGGTGATGTTTACAATGTCCATCTATCCTGGTGTAAATGTACTTGTGGTACCCGAATGCTTTTTAGAGATTTACCAACAGCTGAAGAGACTATATTACATAATACCACTAAGTGTAAGACCCATCCGTTCTTCCTCTTCCTACTACTTTGTTCCCAACCTAGGGCTTCCTACACTGTAGTTCTCAGAATACAGTTCAGATTGAGGGGGGTTGCTAGGTTCATTTTGACAGGCAATGGAGTTTTCTAAAAAATTCATTATAAGTACCTTCTCTGGGGGTGTTATTTTAAATCTGAAGATTTGAACTATATTTCCTCCATATGGGAGCGTTTGCTTTTTTCCTTCATTTTCTCCTTCCCACCTAACATCATGATGGCTGCAGATATCTGCAAATCTTCAGGTTTAGAAGGGAATTATAACTCTCTATCATCTATCTATCTATCTATCTATCTATCTATCTATCTATCTATCTATCTATCTATCCACACACACACTTATATATATTACACACACATACACACTCTCCAATTGCTTATTGCTGACAGTATGAATACTGAAGGAAGTACTAGTTGTTTATGTTTACTATTTTGTTATAGGATTTAAACAAATGAACTAAACAACTATGTATATCACAAATAAAACTTAAAACATACCAAAATGGGATGCAGAATTTCTCGGAAATGTTTCTATGGTGACCTGCTCTTTAAAGGAATACCAGTGATTTGTCCTACATCGTATGCAAGACTTACTTCAAATACCCTTTCTTTAGTGCTGCCTACCAAGAGCTCAAACGCAACTGTGATGCAGCAAGTTTTCCAGATACTATCATTGGGGATGACGTGCACACAGGTGGCATCCATGTGGAAATTATGGTTAAGGTTGGATTCGTTTATACTTGACACTTCTATAACAAAGGCTTAAAGAAAAAAAGTGAACAAACATTGAACAAACAAAATGTATTTTTCTACCTTTCTCCAAAAACCTATGCAAAAGGAGAGTATTTATACTTCAAGCCATGTTGTTTTTGCTCAGAAACAATGTAGTCGATTTGGGTTTTTTCCCCACAAAAAATATATTTGATATTTTTTAAGGTGACAGGCATTAAAGTCAAAGCAAAACCAGTTTCTTCGTAAAATCGTTTCAAATAACTTACCCAACTCAATTGCCCAGTAAATCATTGAATGATTGGATTTGGTTTCAGAAAATTTTCTTCAATTTGTCTACTATTTTTGTGGAAAGTGGTGGGAAGAAAACAAGCAAGCTCCTGAAGCACTCTTGGCTAGGCAAAGTCCAAAGTTCATGGGGTGGAAAGAATATTAGGAGAATAATTAAGTTGTGAGTGCATTGATCTCTATATGACATTGGGATAACCTTATACTTACTGTTTTCTGAGAACATACTCTGTGCCAGTCATTATGCTAAATATACATCTATTCACATAATATAATATAGTGTAATCACAACATCATTTCAAACTTTTGCTTGTTGTCTATATTTTACAGGTGAGAAAAGGAGGTGATATGCCTAGAAAGTGGGAGTCAGTAGGAAACCAAGGATTATCTGTGAATCTGGTGTGCATCCATTGTGCCACTCCTATCTATAGCATGGCCTTGTGTCATGCACAATGATAGTCACTGTTTAGAGCAGGGTGTCCAATCTTTTTGCTTCCCTGGGCCTCAAAGGAAGAAGAATTGTCTTGGGCCACACATAAAATACACTAACAATGATGATAGCTGATGAGCTAAAAAGAAAATTGCAAAGATGATCTCATAATATTTTATGAAAGTTTATGAATTTGTGTTGGGCCACATTCAAAGCCATCCATGTAGCCCATGGACCATGGGTTGGATAAGCCTGGTTTAAAGGCCAAGGAGTAAATGAATGTAAAAATCAGATGAATCAAGAGGACTAATTGAGTTTCTACTTTTGATCTCATTCAGTTCAGAGACTGACTATTCCAAGAGTCACAGTGCACCGGAGTACGCTTATCCCCACTTGCCCATGAAGGTGACATTTGGCTTTCTAGCCTCATGGGGAACAGGTCAAAGAGGAGAAACACCAGCATCTTCCTCATTTAGGGATTCTTTTTGTTGTATATGATTAACTAGCCTCTTTTACACATTTGAAAAGGTAATCATGCTTTATGTCTGATACAGTAATGAGCACAACAGCTTACAGTGGGTACATGTTGGAGAGACTGTTTTTCCCCTCTAATAAAAATTAAAGAGCTCTGATTATGGAAAATAATGGGAATACGATGGAGCTGTTTGTCAAATAATACAAAATTTCAATTAGGCAGGAGGAATACATTCAAGAGCTCTATTATACATCATGGTGACTATAATTAATAACAATACATGATATAATTGAAAATTGCTAACAGAGTAGATTTTAAGTATTCTCACCACAAAAGAATAATAAGCACGTGAGGCAATTCATATGTTAATTAGCTTGGCTTATCCATTCCACAATGTATACAGGTATCAAAACATGTACACCATAAATACATCATGTTGTACACATAAATGTATACAATTTTAACTTGTTAATTACAAATGAGCTAATATCAGAAGTAGATAAAGGTGAGTACTTATATTTAAAAATTAGCCTTCAGAAGAAAATTTGAACTTCAGCATAGTTTTGTGTAGGTAAAACAAGAAAAAGTTGAAGACTGATAAGAGATCCTGTACTGAAGAGATGAGTCTTACCCAGTTGGAAAGATTTGTTCCTTCTTAGCTGTTTCCCATCGGGAACTTAGAATCTATTCTTTGTAGTGGTGAGAGCTTATAGATCATGCCAACATATCTCCCACTATTTGTGTAGTTACAGTCACACTAGAATAAAAAGGGGGCTGTGTTTCCAGGTTACTTGCTAATCATGCCAAAGGCAGAGGTATAATGCTGAGTGGCCACATGGTTACCTCAAAATCCCTGTAGAGGGAGGAAAGAACCAGGGGTTCTTTGCATAATCACAAGAATGCTCTCCATGTCGCCCCCTTTGGATTCCACATACAGACACACTCACATGCTCAAGCTTTCCACACATTACTTTTCATGCCTCCTTGCCTGTACACATACAAACATGGAACCTCAATACTGTGAATGAACTAAATGTCTCTGAGTTGTACACTTTAATGTTGTTAATTTTATGTTGTGTAAATTTCATCTCAATTTAAAAAAATCTTCATGTACTGTGATATATATATATATATACATTAAAAGCCTTTCTCAAAAAAATTATCCCAAATTTAAATAAATAAATAAATAAATAGATGGATAAATACCTGAGAGAGAAAATTATACAAAATGAGAAAATGGGGAAAGGGAAGTGGATACTGAAATGTAAATAAGAATCAATAAATGAAGAAACTTATTGTAAGCTATCTATGGGAGAAAGTGAAAAGTCTAACTCTTCTCTAAGAAAGAATTAATGGTCATAAAGGAAAAAGGACCTGGTGCTCACTCCTTAGGAAGCTTAGCCCCATCCTAAAGGTTGAGAACCCTTAAATCACTTGAAAAGTTCTGGCTTCCTAATTTGAATACCCAGAACACATTTTCTTAGGACAGATTTCCACTGGTTGACAACTTTATCAAGCCACCATACCCTCAGGCCTGAAGACTATGGGAGAAGGCCAGGGATTACAGAAACCTGGTTTCATCATTTGTGTTGACAATTAAATGTTGAAGAATCAAGGAAAATTCCTGACTCACCTGTGGAGAGTGAAGAACGCCATCCTGTACCTTGGAAGGATGGCAGGGCTGGGAAAGTCGTGGAATTTGAAGAAAGTGCAGTTGGAACAGATAACTTTCTCTAACTTTAGGGATGAAATCTCAGGCGGCCAATTATATTTTGTTTATTTGACTTCTTTTATTTTCCCTCCCCCTCTGTATGGTCATGTATGCACCTAATATCCTAACCTACATTCAACTTTGCAAATACAAGTTTTATCTCCTTGTCCCTGGAGCATGGGAAGGGGCTCACCAAACTTTAATTTCCCAACAGGGTTACGTTTGAGTCTTCAGTGATGCCACCTTTGGATGGAGAGAACTTTGATCCCACTTTATGGGCTTGTAAATGTGATTAAATCTCTACTTCCTCATTCCAATTCGCCCATTTCAACTTCTGTTTGAGCAATAGCTCCTGGTCCAGGCAACTTAGGAGACCATTGGAATGCTCTGTGTGGATAATCTGGTCTGAGCATGGGCAGTGAAACTTTTTTATACCAGTCCCCAGTGAGATGTTGCTTTATAGTGGGCTGCTTGCTCTCCGGGTTTGGAATTCTACCACAACCTTCGGTAACCTTCTTAGAACTTTTGTCTTGTCTTTACTTGGAGGAAGACAGACCTTATCCTGGTTTTTAACTTAGAAATTTTACTTCCCAGAAGCATTAATAATAGATCTTTAGTGAGGATACTAAGCATTGTGCAGCAAAACCTGTAGAATTGCAATGCATTTCTCTATCTCCCCTTACCCAAGGGTGAGAGTGGAGATTTCCGTGTGTGCATTGTTAATATGAAAGCCGCAGGCTGTTCTTACTGTCTGCTCAGCTACCTGGCATAGCCCTAGGAAAGACAGCTTATAATTTCTTCTCCCTGGCTTGTTCTGAAGCTGACACAATGGTATCTTTTTCTGGCCAGTGGTCTGAGAACCACTTTCTAAGCACAATGAACAATCTGCTTAAACAGAGCTCCCCACCCCTGTGAGTGCTGGAGTTGGAGAGAGAAATTCATTAGAGCCCGAGGTAGCTCTGGATCTTAAAAAGAAAAGAGATAAGGAGTGCAGGGCCAGGGAAAAGAAGAAGTTTGCTTTCTAGCTCCTGAAATGTTGCTGATATCTCTCATTATATTTTTTTTTCTTACTTACTGTCTTCTTTACTTTGTGGCTTTCTTATCTAATTTCTTATTCTTTTTACCGTTATTTATACAGTTCTAGGAGGAAACAAATAGAAACTCATTTGTAAAATACACTTCCTCACCTTCAGATCTACGAATTAATTTTTTCCTATGGTGTATAAGCAAAAAAATGACATTTCTTTGGCCTTTTAGTATAGACACTTGTGACAACATCATTTTTTGTAGTATATATTTTCCTAAATTTATTTGAAATTATGAATATATGATATATTAGATTCCCACATGTGAAAGTTTCTTTTTGGACTGCATCTTGATTCACTAATGCATTTGTCTTTCTCTACACCAATACCATAGTTTTAATTGTAGTTACTTCATGATATGCTTTGATAGGGTGTAAGACAGGTACTTTCTCACTTTATTTCACTTCTTTCTCAAAAATCTTTTAATTACTCTTGCTTGATGGCTTTTCTTTCATGTGAGGTTTTAAATCAATCTGTCAAGTACCATTTTTAACAGTGTCTTCTAGATTTGGATTGCTATTTCCTTGAATTCACATACTCTGAGAAAATTTGACTTTTGTGATATTAATTGCTTTTTTGCCAGAAGTAGCTGTCACTTCATTTATTTTAGGACTTTTAAAAATATCTTTTAAAAAATCATTAGAGCTTTCTCACTAAATGTCCTACATGTGTATCATTAGATTTATTTCATATTTATTCTTTCATGGTTTATGTTGTTATTGTACACAGGAGAGTTTCTATTATTTTTATAGTTGTGGCTTGAGTATAGAAATGCTAACCTCCTTGCTGAGCTCTCATGATTTCTATTAATCTGGTAATTGAATATCTTGGATCTTTTAAAGATATACAAATCATATCAACTGTCTTCTGTCCATCAATATCCAATTTCCACTTTTTTCTTCCAAGTTTTAATGCAATACATGGCATTTCACAACCTTCTTTATAGCCTAGGTGAGACTACTTGACTGTTTGGACAGCTAACATGCAGAAGATCCTTGAGAAGGAAAATAAATATTTATTGTTGTAAGTTCTGTGCTTTACAGGTTGGTCTTTACTTGGGATTATCTCTGCCCTATCTGATTCATATGTCTGCTAATCTCGTTCTATGAGCATGTATAGTATTTATTCTATAAAGCAATAAGAATGTGGCTAGGCAAGGGGATTATAAGCCCACTAGGGCTTATACACAATATAAATATAATAAATATCATATAATATAAATATAATAAATATTATATAATGATATAATATAATATTATAAAATATTAGCTAGAGCAATCTAATAATTTTTAAACAATAATGTATCATAATAAAATATGGGTTTTCCCAAGGGATGCAGGGATAGCTCACCATAAAATAATTGACTAATATGATGAACTACTTAATAGACTGAAACTGGAAAATGTATATGATTATTTCAATAAATGGATTAAAAACCATTTGATGAAGTATTTATCCATCGATTTAAAAAATCATTTAAAAATAGAACTAGAAGGGAACTTCCTTAACTTGGTAAAGGTTAAATATTCCAAATCCACAGCAGTGTACTGGATGGAGACTCTCTGGATGCATTTCTTTAAATCAGAAATAAGAAAAGATACCTATTCTCACAGCTTACAATTAGACAGGATACTAGAGGTCCTGGCCTATGCTATAGGAAAAGAAAATAATTAAGATTTACAAAGACTATAAGCAAAACCATCATTATTTACAGATGATAAGATTATATATCTAGGAAAATTTTTGTAACAATCTATTAGCCTTAATAAGAGAACTAGACACAGGACCACCTCAGAGATATCAATGACTACAACTGTAATTTCAGCACTTTGGGCGGCCAAGGCAGGAGGATTGCTTGAGACTAAGAGTTCAAGACCAACCTGGACAACCTAGAAAGACCCTATTTCTACAAAAAATAAAAAATTTAGCAATGATTGGTGATGCACACGTGTAGTCCCAGCTACTTGGAAGGCTGAGCAAGGAGTATGGTTTGAGCCCAGGAGTTTGAGGCTATAGTGAGCTATGATTTCACCACTGCACTCTAGCCTGGGGGAGAAGGTCAGATTTTGTCTCTTTAAAAAAAGAAAGAAAGAAATCAATGGAATTTCTGTACACCAGCAATAACCAACTAGAAAAATAAAATAAAATGTCACTTATAACAGCAACACAAATTATAAAGTTGGAATTGTATAAAGTAGGAATTTTTTAACAGAGAATATACATGATTTCTATGGCACTCTTTGCCAGAACTTTCAGTCCTCCCAATATTCATTCATTTATTTATTTATTTATTTCCTTCTTTCTCTCTCTCTTTCTCTCTCCCTCCCTCCTTCCCTCCCTCTCTCTTTCTCTCTCTCTTTCTCTTTCTTTCTTTCTTTCTCTTTCTCTTTCTTTCTTTCTTTCTTTCTTTCTTTCTTTCTTTCTTTCTTTCTTTCTTTCTTTCTTTCTTTCTTTCTCTTTCCTTCTTTTTCTTTCTTTCTTTCGGAATCTCACTCCAGTTGTGCAGGCTGGAGTGCAGTGGCATGATCTTGGCTCACTGCAACCTCCACCTCCCAGGTTCAAGCTATTCTCCTCCCTGAGCCTCCTGAGTAGCTGGGATTACAGGAGTGCACCACCACGCCTGCCTAATTTTTGTAGTTTTATTGGAGATGGGGTTTCATCATGTTGGTCAGGCTGGTCTTGAACCCCTGACCTCAGGGGATCCACCCGCCTCGGCCTCCCAAAGTGCTGGGATTACAGGCGTGAGCCACCACTCCCGGCCAGTATTTTTAATCTACCTTCCTTATTATTTTTCTTCCTAGCAATTAACACCATCCAACATAACATGTATCTTATTTCTTATTTTTATTGTCTGTTTCCCTTAAGTTGAAAGTAAACTCCATGAGGACAGATATTTTCATTTGCCTAGAAAGGTGTCCAGCATGTAAAATATATTTAACAAATATTTGTTGAACAAATATGGAGAAAGTATTAAAACTATAAATAGGACATTAAAGAGTTTCTGAATAACTGTAATGACATTTCATGCTTTGTCTTGGACAATTTAATATTAAAAGATCAGTTCTCCAAAAGTAATCTATAAACAATTAAAATTTCAGGTGAAATTTTTGGGAAACTTCAGACTAAAATTAGTCAAAATTTTATAAGAAATAAATCTCTCTATAAATAGCAGAATTAACTTTGAAAAAAGACCAAATAAAATGGATATGCTCATGTTATTTGATATCTTACATACCCTGTAGGAAGACTTATTAAATTTAAAAAATAGAATGCTAGAATTGCATGGTGTAAGAACAGATGAAATAACAAACAGGAATGAATAGAGAGTTCAAAGACAGACCCAGACATAGGTAAACTTAATACACACTAAAATTACTACAAATGAATGAGTAAAGAATTGATTGTCTAATAAATGGAACACTGGAAAACATAACACTGGATCTATATTTAACAAATATTTAAAAGTGAATGTCAGATATACTAAAGAAATATTATAGTAGGTAAAACTAAAAACCTAATTAAATAAAAAATATAGTATTTTGTGACCTACATGCAGGATTTTATTTTTTTAGAAAAACAAACTTCCAAAGCACAAATCACAGAATAAAAAAGTGATGCATTTGATTGCCTCAAAATGAAGACCTTCTGTTCAACAAAGGACTCTATGGATAAAGTGAACAGAGGGATTGCAGATTAGAAGTATGTATTTGCAGTAGGTATGACACAACAGGGCTAACACCTATAATATATCCATCAGTAAAGAAATGGCAAAAAACCCAAAGGAAAAATGGGCAAAGAAAATGAACATGCAGTGTACAACAATAAAAACCCAAATAGCTAACAGTTTGCTTCACTCGCTCAGAAAATATTTACTTTGTGCCTTCTATAAGACAGGCACTATTTTAGATATTTGGCATATACTAGTTTAAAAAACAAAGAGCCCTGCCTTCAAGGGGCTTATATATGGGGCAGTGAAGGGAAACCTATATTTAAAAATGCATACATTGCAAAGAATGCTAGAAAAGATAAGTTCTTTGGAAAATAAATCAAGGGGAGAAGGAGTGGGAGTATGGGTCAGGAAGGAAGTTTGTTGTAACAAATAGGTCAGTCATGTAAATCTCCTTGAAGAGATGATGGTTGAATGAAAAATTGACAGAGGTGAGGAAGTGGCTATCTAAGGAAAGAGCATCCCAGGAAAAGAGTCTAGATAGAAAACAGGCCCATCTCCACAGAAAGACTTTGGATTTTATTTTTAGTAAATGCAGGGTGTGAGCAGGGTAATGACATGGCCTGAGTTATATATATATATATATATATATATATATATATATATATATATATATATATATATACATACACACACACACACACACACACACACACACACATATACATACTCATATACATATATACATATATATACGTATATATATATACGTGTATATATATACGTATATATATATACGTGTATATATATACGTATATATATATACGTGTATATATACACGTATATATGTACACACACACACACACACACACACACACATATATATATATATATATATTTTTTTTTTTTTTGAGACGGAGCATCACTCTGTCGCCCAGGCTGGAGTGCAGTGCCGGGATCTTGGCTCACTGCAAGCTCCGCCTCCTAGGTTCACGCCATTTTCCTGCCTTAGCCTCCCAAGTAGCTGGGACTACAGGCACCGCCACCACGCCCGGCTAATTTTTTGTATTTTTTAGTAGAGACGGGGTTTCACCATGTTAGCCAGAATGGTCTCGATCTCCTGACCTCGTGATCCACCCGCCTCGGCCTCCCAAAGCTGAGTTATATTTTAAAGGGTTCCCTCTGACTGCTGGGACACAAGAGTGAAGCAGAGAAGTTTGTTCTACTGAAGTAACCCAAGTGGGAGATGGTGGTGTTTCACACCAGGGAGTGACTGCAGAGGTGAGAAGTGATCATATTCCGCACATATTTTGAAGGTAGGGGCAACAGGATATTTTTGCAGATTTGAGTCCCGTATGAGAAAAAGGAGTGGTGAATGGACTCATCACTGCAATGACGAAGTTACCATGAACTGAGACAAGGAAGGCATGAACAGAATGATACAGAGTGAGAATGGGTGCGAATCAGGAACTCAGCATGAGAAAAACATGAGAAAAAAACTCCGTGTCTGATTACTTTTCAGAGTAATGGAACATAAAACAATTTTATCTTTTAGCTAAAAAAAAAATCAAAACATGCCAAGTGTTGTTGAAGTTGTACATAAGGAAAGATTGTGCACTGAAGTAGGAGTATAGAGTTATAAAGCCATTCTGGGGATCACTATGACCTAGCAACTCGGTTCCTCTGTAAATACACCAAAGAAATTTTCACACAGGTCTTTAAGTGAGCCTGTGTCATGATATGAATCCCAAGGTGCTGGGGAATTGGATATTTAGCTACCGGGAATGAAAGCTAGAATATTGTGAACACCATGGATTCATAATTGCTCATTGTGAACAATTAGAAATTGTAGACTAGCAATATGTATGAATCTTTATAGTGTTGAGGCTGGGCGCAGTGGCTCACACCTGTAATCCCAGCACTTTGGGAGGCTGAGGCGGGAGGATTGTCTGAGCTCAGGAGTTCACAACCAGCCTGGGCAACACGGTGAAACCCCGTCTCTAGTAAAATACAAAAAATTAGCCGGGCAAGGCAGCATGCGCCTGTAGTCCCAGCTACTCAGGAGGTTGAGGGGGAGAATTGCTTGAACCCGGGAGGCAGAGGTTGCAGTGAGCTGAGATCACGCCACTGCACTCCAGCCTGGGCAATAGAGTGAGACTCCATCTCAAACAAACAAACAACAACAACAACAACAAAAAAAAAAAACCCAAAAAATATAGTGTTGAATGGAGAAAATGAATACATAGAATCAAACAGATAACAACATAATGCATTTTTTTAAAAATGCATAAATGCACTCTCAAACATATTTTATTGCATTAAACAAATTAGAATAGTTGGCCAAAAGACCAGGAAGAAATGGACATTACGAATAAGATAAAAGAGAATTAATGCAATATGCAGCATAACAATGTTTTGCTCAATGACTGACCTCATATACTATGGTGGTCCCATAAAATTATAATGGAGCTGAAAAGTTCTTATTGCCTAGTGACTTCACAGCTATTGGAACGTCATAGCAACACATTATCTTTTCTATGTTTAGATATATTTGGAAACACAAATATTTACCACTGTGTTAAAATTGCCTACGGTATTCAGTACACTATCATGCTGTACAGGTTTGTAAACTAGGAGAACAGGCTATACCATCTAGCCTAGGTGTGTAGTAGACTACACCATCTAGGTTTGTGTACCTACACTCTATGGTGTTTGCCTAATGACAAAATCGCCTAATGACACATTTCTCCTAGCATGTCTCTGTTGTTAAGCAATATATGACTGTAATAAATTTTCAAAAATTAGTAAGAGGGCCCTCGTGTTATTCCATATACTGAGGAGTATTATTAACCAATTATCTCTGCACTGGAGATTTTAAAAAGCCTTATTTTCTAATATCCTAAATTCTAACATGTATGATCTTTACATACTTCATAAAAGGCAACTCTTAAAATAGCAAAGAACATGTCCATCAATAAATTATACAATGAGCATGAATTTAACAGCATTGTTAGGCACTGTGACGACAAGGAGCATCCTCCTTGCTCTCAAGAAGCTTACAGTCTAACTTCCCAAGACAGCACTGCCCTTTTTGCCCACTGCGAAAGCAGGTTTTCTTCTTTTGAAAAGTAGGGGATCAAAACAGCTTTATTTTTGAAAATTTACACAATTTTTAGCCGAGTCATTGATGACAGTAATCTATAGAATTCAAAATTTCCATTGAAAAGCAATATGTATAAATAAATTAGATTAAGTCCAAGATTTCACACACACAAATATCTTGTAGGTCTAGAATCATTTTCTCCATCAATACATATGACTTGTAGAAAAATACATTCTCTTTTTATAGAGATTTATCTGTTTTCTCCCAACCCTTGATGGATGAACACATGCAGTGAAAGAAGGGAGACAGGATGCAGGTGCAAATGGGGAGGGAAGAGCAGCTGGACCATAACAGGCTCCGCACAGGAAGAGTTTGGATTTTGTTCTAAGAAGGAGATGTAGCCTAATTTATTTTCTAAGATAAAGGTGTCAGCAACAGGTACTGGAGAGGATATGGAGAAATAGGAACACTTTTACACTGTTGGTGGGACTGTAAACTAGTTCAACCATTGTGGAAGTCAGTGTGGCAATTCCTCAGGGATCTAGAACTGAAATACCATTTGACCCAGCCATCCCATTACTGGGTATATATCCAAAGGACTATAAATCATGCTGCTATAAAGACACATGCACACGTATGTTTATTGAGGCACTATTCACAATAGCAAAGACTTAGAACCAACCCAAATGTCCAACAATGATAGACTGGATTAAGGAAATGTGGCACATATACACCATGGAATACTATGCAGCCATAAAAAATGATGAGTTCATGTCCTTTGTAGAGACATGGATGAAATCGGAAATCATCATTCTCCGTAAACTATCGCAAGGACAAAAAACCAAACACCGCATGTTCTCACTCATAGGTGGGAATTGAACAATGAGAACACATGGACACAGGAAGGGGAACATCACACTCTGGGGACTGTTGTGGGGTGGGAGGAGGGGGGAGGGATAGCATTAGGGGATATACCTAATGCTAAATGATGAGTTAATGGGTGCAGCACACCAGCATGGCACATGTATACATATGTAACTAACCTGCACATTGTGCACATGTACCCTAAAACTTAAAGTATAATAAAAAAAAAGAATAACAAAGTAAAAAAAAAATTCACTTTTAAATATTTAACAGACTACAGGATAATTGACCTAATTAAACTAAAGAGCTTCTGCACAGCAAAAGCTGAAAGAGCATAGCAATTATTTGTATTCATAGCTTATGTTAATGTAAAATCTTTGAAAATAAAAGTACAAAAATGAGGGGTAGCAAATAGTAGCACACTAAGGTTCCTGTGTGAATATGGAATATCCTGTGAATATGGAATATCCTGTGAATATGCTATTGTACATGACAAAAGGGCCTTGCAGATGCATTTAAATGAAGGATTTTTAAATGGGGGTATTGTCCTGGACCATCTGGGTGGCCCTAATGTAATCACAAGTTTCTTGTAAAGAACAAGGCAAGAGGATCAGGGTCAGAAGAAAGATATGTGATGACAGAGGATCATTTCTCTGTCATCATATGGAGGACAGAATGGAGTGGAGGATCAGAGTCACAGAAAGGTTTGCTGTGCTGTTGGCCTTGTGGAAGGAGGAGCCAGGAACCAAGGAGTGGAAGTCACCTCAGAAAGCAGAAAGCAAGAAATGGAATGTTCCCCAGAGTCTCCAGGGAGAAACGCAGCTCTGTCAACAGCTTGATTTTGCCCTAGTAGAACCCGTATCAGACTCTGACCTTTGTAATGTTAAGATAATAATTTTGTAATGTTTTGAGTCACAAAGTTTGTGGGACTTTGTAAGATAAGGTGGAACTTGTGGAATTCCTACTTTTACAACAGGAAGAAGAAACTAAAATAGGCTCACGTTCACCAAATATGGGACAGTTTGAACATCAATAAAGACAATAACTGCTGTGGATTAAGACACATCAAATAAATGCACATCAGTGAGTTCATAACTATAATGAAAAAAACCTCACCTCATTTGTTGTATTAAAAAGTGGCAACGAAAGGGGAAAAATTAAAAAATTTATTCTGCCTTTCTCATACCAACTATACCTCAGGAGGATGAAAGAGTGATGAGGTGGAAGTTTCTCTCTATAAATGTATTTTAGATAATAAAGAGAAAAGGATGATAGACTCTCACCACCTTGAAACCCCTAAAAAATTAATAGAGCTAGGTCAGTACTTCTCTATCAGGGGCAATATTGGCATTGCCTAGTTGGGAGGGAGTACTAGGGCCATCTAGTAGGTAGATGTTAGGAATGTTGACCATGCACAAAATAGCCCCCATAACAAATAATTATTCAGCCCAAAATGTCAATAGATATTTGGCACTTTTGAAAACTCCTGACCTATGCAATATAATAGTTGTAATAATCCCCAGAAAAAAAGGAACATTGTGTTTCTTGCTACAAACATTGTGTGCTTCTTGCTAGAAGTACATGTGACCATCTATGAAATACCATTGTCATAAAAAAAAATAAACCTGATGAAACCTCTGGATTAAACAGGAGATACAGAAATAAAATAACATGTAAAATTACACTATAGGGATGTCATCAAAAAATCTAGACTGTATGAGAAATCCAACAGGAACAAATGATACAGTTTTATTTAAAAAATAATTCCAACAGTAAAAAAGTAGAATTTATAGGTTACTAATTTACTATAAATTTATTAATTGATAGAGTAAAAGAATTCTCAGAGGCATAGTAGACAATTGGAATATATGGGTCTTATTTAGATTCTTATTTGAACAAACTGTAATTTTTATATGTATTAGATTTTTAAGGAAAACCTTCAGTGGTGTTTTTATGGTTATTAACTAATGAAAAATATTTTATTTTCAAATACTTTTCAGTGTCTTTTTAAATTTTTTCTATTTAATGGCTAAATAAACAATAAAGTTTAGAATAGCATCTTATTTTGTATTCCTGTATCAAGACAATGTTCATGCCTTCTATTGGGAATGTCCTTCACAAGCAGCTATGAATTAGAAGTGTGTGTAGTCTTAAGGTGATCCAACTAATTTAATTTATGAAGATTAAAGTTACCGAGAAAGTGCAGCCTTGAAATTAAAAACTCTATCAAATAAAAAAGATAAAAATTGAAATTTAATAGATGGAATATATGATGGTTAATATTGACCATCAACTTGATTGGATTGAAGGTTACAAAGTATTGTTCCTGGGTGTGTCTATGGAGGTGATGCCAAAGGAGATTAACATCTGAGTCAGTGGACTAGGAGAGGCAGGCCCATCCTCAATCTGGGTAGGCACCATCTAATCAGCTGCCAGCATGGCTAGGATAAAAGCAGGCAGAGGAACATGGAAGGACTAGATTGCCTGAGTCTTCTGGCCTCTATCTTTCTCCTGTGCTGGATGCTTCCTGACCTTAAACATCAGACTCCACTCCAATTTCTTCAGCTTTCGGACTCTTGGACCTACACCAGTGGTTGACCAGGGGCTCTCGGGCCTTTGGCCACAGACTGAGGGCTGCACTGTTGGCTTCCCTACTTTTGAGGTTTTGGAACTCCAACTGGCTTCTGTGCTCCTCAGCTTACAGAAGGCCTATTGTGGTACTTTACCTTTTGATCGTGTGAGTCAATACTCCTTAATAAACTCCTTTTCATATATTCATCTATCCTATTAGTCTTGTCTCTCTAAAGAAACCTGACTAATACAGAATATGAGACTATAGTAGTCTATTTCTACATACCTAATGCCCACTCTCAGCATTTCTGCTTCCTGAGATATCAAGACTTGGATAACCCTTCCAGGAAGAACCCCAACATGCTTAGGAGTTGTTTGAAGGCAAAGGATTGTGTGATGGTTGATGGAGAAATGTCACGAACACCGTGACCACACGACCGCTGGCAGAAATGAAGATATAGCATCTTCACGTATTTTCCTCCTTGATGTATTATGTGTATGTTTGTATTTTTGATTACTTTCTTCTTATCTCTTTCCCATACCATTTCATATAGAGCATGTTCACGATGGTGAATTTTCCAGTTTACTACACAATTTACAGAATGTTCAGACAGCATCCTCACATTTTAGAAGAGGAATGATATTCAGATGGCATTTCCAATCTGGGAGATGAAGTGTTTTAGCTGACATCACTTTTAAATGACACCACTTTACTTGTCTCCTTCCAATTGCATCTAACTTAATTCAGATGTCTCGAATGTCTCAAGAGTATTACTGAAGCAGACCCAGCAGACAGGCTGGTCATCTTGCCTCTAATCTTTTCTTCCACTATCTCATTTGCCAGAGTGATACTTTTAAAATGTAATTGTTTTCAATCTATACTCCTTCTAAAAATTTTTGACGGACTATTGTTTTCTATTAGAATAAAGTTAAAAGATACTTAGACATTCGACGCCTTCCAGGATCTGACCGTGTCTAACCCGTCTGCTTCGTCCTCACTACTCTCTCACTCTTCTCTGCCCTGAAATTGAACTTCCAACATTTTTTGGACTTTCATGCTTGCTCACATCTCTACAACTTTGTACAGGTTGTTTCTTTTTTGGGTTTCTTGTCTTCTGGATAACTTGTTCTTACATTTCTGGTCTCAATCCAAGGGTCCTTTTATAGGAAGCCTTCTGCAATCATTTCCAGTGGGCTCCCCTTCACTGTAACACTTACCACAATGCATTATCATTGTTTCATCATCTGTCCTCCCTACTATGTGAGATTATCCTTGTTATGATGGTATCATATTGACTATTGTGTGCAACAACCATTTATTGACACTGACACAGAATAGATACTCCACTGATAATACTTAAAATAAAAATTTAATTTGCCAGCATTGTCATCTTTTAGGATGCCTGCCTATCTTGCAAAATTTAAGATTGCATTACTATTAATATAAAATTCAGATGTCAAATGGGCTTTGAGTTATATGCCTTCAACACTGTAAAAACTCTTAGATTCTATGATGATGTGTTGACAAATGTAAGAACTGCAAATCAACTGACTTAAAGAAGACACAAAAGGAAGAAAAGACTGACTCCTTCAAGGGAGTAGGAAGAGCAGCTATGATCATATTCTTTCTTTTCTTTCCACTTTTTCAATTATGTCTTCTCCTTTTACATCAGTTATGCTCCTTTTCAAAGGGAAGTCCATTCTCAGACAAGCCCAGGTTACAAGATTTACAAAAATTCACCTATGGCTCTGTTGTGTGTGTGAAGGTGACGAAGACGGAGGTGGCAAGAGAAGTTCTCAATGTGAAGACTTGAGGGTAACATTTGCATAGTTGACTGACCTTCCTTGACGTTCCAAACTTCATATTAAATTATCTTACCCTTCATTGACTTTGGCTGAAGAGTTTTTCCTTAAATTAACTATGTCTTTGACATTTTTCACAGTATCTCATAATTTGTGTGCTTTTTTGTGTGTTTCTGAAGATTCTGAGAAAGAGCTTACAGATTTTTCAGAGATTGATCATTTTTAATATTTTCAACGATATACCTATATATGCAGTAAAATCCTTCTCAAACTGTTTGAATACTGTCAAGAAGCACCTGAAGCTTAACTTTTCTTGGTCAATAATTGTCTTCAGTACAAACAACCATTGACTGTCACCCTATCGAGGTGAAACAAGACCTTGAGTTGATATTTTTTCACTGAATTAGCTCCAGCACTCAGGAGAAGACATTATGTTCACCTTTTGTAGGTCCTGCACAAAAACATTTTAGTCAGCCTTGACAATAACACTTTTCTCAGAATGTTGACTCACACAATTACTGCATGTGATGACATACACTACAAATTATTTAAAGTGAGTCTTCAAATGTAAAAATGCATTTTGTTTTCAATGGAAGCCCCATAACCTTTTATAAAATGTGGATGTGTAAGTACCAGTGGTCCAAGGTAAGATCCATGAGTAGGTCTATCATTACAAACGATATGACAAATCAAAACAGTAAGTAGTAATTTTTTTTCAACGATTGTCAGGCTGTAAGAGTGGAGGTGGAAGAAGTGTGGGAGGTTTTATAACAGCAGTATCTAACTCCACTGTTCATAAATATAACCCCACGTCCCACACCCCATCCAATTGAACCACTCCCCCTCCTCCATAACATCCACAGTACATGCTACGTCATCTCCTTCCTGGTTGCCAGGGCAATGTAGTTTACACCTGTCAGATCTCAGCTGGGTGGAGAACACTGAGGCAAAGCTGTTTTCTCTAAGTCATACTCATGAGTCAAGTTGCCAGCTTTGATGTTAACCCAGAGAATTTCCATAATAGTTTCTGCCAGGCCCCCTTCACCTCTTTATTCCTTAGGCTGTAAATCATGGGGTTCAGCATTGGTGTTAAAATGGCATAAAAGACAGAGAACAACTTCTCCTGAAGGACAGAGGGACTGGAGTGGGGCTGGATGTAAGTGAAAATGGCCACACCATAGCACAGGGCAACCACTGTGAGGTGAGAGGCACACGTGTGGAAAGCTTTCTTTCTTCCTTCTCTGGACTGGATCTTTAGGATGGTGGAGATGATCTGGATGTAGGACAAAAGAACCAGGCAGAAGGGTGTCATCAGAAGAACAATGCTAGACACCATGATGGTGACCTCATTGGAGGAGGTGTCCACACAAGCCAGCCTGACCACAGCTAGGAGTTCACAGGATATGTGATCAATAAACTTGTTTCTGCACATGGGCAGCTGAAAGGTGATAGCAGTCTGCACAGGAGAGCTGATGAAGCCACTGACCCAGGATGTGATGGCCAACCTAGCACACAGCCCTCCATGCATGATGGCCGAGTATCGCAGGGCATCACACACAGCCACATAGCGGTCATAGGCCATCACCGCCAGGAGAACAAACTCAATCCCACCCAAGGCCAGGGAGAAAAATAACTGGGCTGCACAGCTCTGGAATGGGATGGCTTTATGTTCTGCAAGAAAATGTGCCAGCAGCTGAGGGACTACACTTGTGGCATAGGAGACATCGACAAGGGAGAGGTTGGTGAGAAAGAAATACATGGGAGTGTGGAGTCGGCTGTCCAGTCTGATCAGAAGGACAATGAGACAGTTCCCCAGCACGGTCACCACATACATGACCAAGAACAGGACAAACAGGGAGACCCGAGTGTCCCAGTCACTGGACAGGCCGAGGAGAATAAATTCACTCACCCAAGTCTGGTTATCTGTTCCCATTAAAATATTCAAGGATTATTAATCTGTGAAGGGAGTCAGAAAAAAACAGAAGCTGTTGAATAACTATAAGAATTACTTGTTTGAATGCATTCTGTACATGCCAGCCAGCCCTAGGCAGGTATTTTAGATCATTTATTGGCCAAAATGAGAGTCTTGACCCAACATGCATTATATTTACTTTGCATCAGAGAGACAAACTATGGCCTTTACAAGACACAATTTGATATCAGGGAAGCCAGTTAAATCCTGGAAATAATGCATTGCAACATTAGGAATTCTACATCTTCACCAACTTACTTCAGATTCCAGGGCAAGGAGAAAATTGCAAATGACAACCAGCGGTAAAATGATAAGCAGTGAAGAAGAATATGGTTGGAAAGTTAACAAATTACCTTAAACATGTCAACTAGACTCATCTTGATGAAATGTGTAAATCTACTACAAAAGGAAAGATTTGGAAGAAGCAAGGCCTGGAGGAAAAATCTGGAACTGGAAACCTACGTTTAAACCTTATTTTATTAGGCAGATTCATGATGTTGGTTTATTGATAAACATTATATATACAAGAGGACATTATTACATAACTCACGAGTATATTTAACATCAAAGTTTCTTTGAACTGATGTTCATTTAACATCAGTTTTTCTTGGAAGTCTTTTTATTTCTAGCTATAATAATTACTATCAATAACATATGGGGAAAGTACTTTTTGAACTGTTACTGGTAATACAACTCTAGAATCATGGATTTTAGTAGTAACATGATCTCTGTGTTGGGACAGGTAAGCCAACAAACACGATTTTCCCTGCATCCTCTCCACAAATTCAGATACAAATAAAATTGGAGACAATCTGTAACATACCTGAGAGTATAGGGATGGTTTGGATGCTTTGAGGATCCTGGGGCCACCGGTCTTTCAGGTAGCCCTTGACCTTTTTGTGGGATGGGATTGTAATTGTACTTCGGTCTCTCTCTTTTTTTTTTTTTTGCTCTTTTCAACTTGCTGCTGTTGCTATGGCTGCCAAAGAAAATAAACATGCATATGAATGCTTAGGCTTTTTAGATACAAGGGAGGAAGAGAAAGCAGATGTCTAAGTACCCTTCTTCATTGTCCAAGACAGAGAAGGAGATATGAATTCACTTGAATGTACATTGGAATGGAGATTCCCTTCTTACTTTTGCTCAGCAAGTGCTTTGTCAGTAAAACTAATGTTATAGCATCAATTTTGAACATAAATAAAAACAAATTACATTGTAAAAAAAAAATAGAACCAATTCCTTCTTATTCCATGTCTGCCTCTTCATAAGCGTTCTTTTTATTGCAGTGTTCACAATAAGGGAAAGTAGGAAACAAATGAGGCAGGAGGCATTAAGGACAGAAACAGGTCCAGACAGACTAGGGTCTCTTACTCGCAAGGGAAAGACTGTCAATACTTCAACTCTCTTATGTGATAAAGGATTAAGCAAAACATGTAGTTCCAGAAATACTCATCCCTTTCATAGTTCACAACCATTTTTTCTAAACTCTCCCTAATGTCCTCCTCAAGACCTTCCTTCTCCAACATTTCCTCCTTTACTGCTCTGTCCTGATGCTCCCACCAGCACCCCTCAGGGTGCTTTTCTAAAATCATAATGAGGCTGAGAATACGTTTGATTTCCTCAAAGAGACATTCAAATTCAAATTCTAAAACCTCAAAAACATTTCACTAAAAGAAAACCTGTCAACTATTGTTGACTAGATTCCAGATTTGCATCTGAATTAGACATTTTTCCATTAACTTGGCAAACACCTATAAAGTGTCATCGTTGTTAGATGATGGATTTTTAGGGTGAATATTACCCTTAATTTTCACGGAGAGCTGACCTATCATGAGGGAAAAGACACAGTGATCTTCACCGTATCATTTGCTCCTCTGCCGCACTGGAGACCCTGCAAGCCCATGACTCACTGTGCTCCTCTCAGCCACCCAACATGTCTCTCCACTAAGTCCTTGTCACATTACAAATGAGTGACAGTGTCTCATCTCAGAGAAAGTGTGAACTTCAGAGTCTAACAGCTCCTGTTTTAGATACACATGTGTTTGTTCTGCTTCCTGAGACTTGGAGCAAGATACTTAGCTTCTCTAAGCCTCATTTTCTTCATGTGTGAAATGTGCCTGATATTGGCCAGCTGAAGGGTCCTTGATGAAATTAAAGGAATTGAAGGACTAAAGCTACAGAAGTGCCGAAACAGGCAGGTGTCCATTGTTTACTGATGATCCTTAGTCTTGACTTCATGCTCTCTTTCAGAATATTCTTTCTTCATTTACTCTCCCTCTCTACTATCCTCAGGTTCCTCTTGTTCCTGAGTAACTCCTTCTCCCTCATTATAAAAGAAAATATACAGGCATCTCAATTTAGGAAGCTTTACTGTGTATATAGCATTCTAAATACCCCTTCATTTCACATCTCTAATGATTGGAATCCATTGTCTGGATTTATTTCCTAATATTTATTCCTGAGACTGTAAACATTTCTACCCTCACTAATCTTTAGAATTTGAAAACTTAAAGGTTACTGATAACCTGCCATCATCAGTTCCAGAGATATTTTTATTCTATTTGCATTCTTTACTTAGCTTTTAACAATGTTACCTATTTGTTCCTTCAAACTCTCAACTCTGTCATGGACTTCTGTCCTGATTTTCCTCCAATCGAATTTGCCTTGTCACCATTCTTAACCTTCCTCCTTCTCCTGCTCTGCTGTATGAGCATTTGCTAAAGTTCTGTGCTCAGAACTTGTACTCAACTTCTACAGTTTTTCTTGGAAGTCTTTTTATTTCTAGCTATAATAATTACTATCAACTCTATATGGCTCACTCTCAATTTTACATTTACCTTCTAGATTTCTCTTCAAAGCTCCAAGTGTATTCCAGAAAAGCTGAATGAATGTTTCCTAAATATCTCACCAATGCCTGTACTCCTCTATCCACGAATGAAATTCCCTCCTGAGTTCTTTTTTACTATCGGCAGAATTAGATTTCTCCTACTCTCTCAATGAATCATCTTTTATTTTTCCCTCTTCTTCTGTATGCCACAGAATACATTCTCTTCCTTTATTATATATCTCCCCCATCTCCTCCTTACTCTCAGCCACACTTACCTTTTCCCTCTTTATTCCCATCTGCTAGAGTTGCCAGACCTTACTTGTAAATTTCCCTAATGTAACTTCCATTCACTCCCAAAATCCTACACTCTAACCTCCAAGTTAATTATATAAAATACAAATTTTTATGTCCTTTTTAAGCACAAAAAGATCTATAATGTCTAAGTGTGTAAAGATTTAAGTTTATCCTGGGCAGAATACTTTTCATCCAATCCATAATCTGCTCTTCTTCTATGACTAACTTTATTTTATTAACTATAGCATTTATTATCATGCCTTGTGTTTTCCAGCAGTCTTTTATTAAAATAGGCTGCTAATACTTAAATATCTTTCACTGATATGTTAACCCATCAAGTATGCTGTGTTTTTCCATGGCTATTGTGGGTTTCAAAATAATTAATATTCAAAAAATATATCTTGTTTCGAATGTTTATGGACTGATGTTAGACAAAGAAAATGTAAATATCATCTGCATTTGGAAAGCCAGTTGAAGGAGGAAATATGTATGAGCCAGATGATTTTAATGCACCTTCAGTTAAAACCATCTCCATATTATTCTGGGCTCACCTTCCAGCTAAATATAACTGGCTTTCTATTCTTATATCAAGGTGAATGGACTAGGTGTCAGGTAACATGCTTCATATCCAACCACTTCTATAGGAAGCCAGAGCTTGATCTTTACTGCTCTAATCTGTGGAATCTATACTTTCCCTACACCGGTGACATTCATTGAGGTCAACTAACTAAGGAAAAAATGTGAGAATATTTCTTCAATTTGTCTGTACAAACACAACTACCAAAACCTCTTAATACAAGCATGCAGCCAAGTTACAAAACCAGTATTGGACAATGAACACAGCTAATAGTCCTATTTAGCTCTTTGTGGTGTACAAGTGTGACTTTTGTGCTCTTCACAGTACTTGTCCAACACCAACAACATTACCTTTTTGCCAGGCATCTAATGTTGCTTTAGTAAGCAATAAAATTCTATTTTACATTCTTAGAGTTATATCATCTTCATACTCAACAAACATCAAATCAATTTTTTCTATATGTGTTCTGAGCTTTCTTTTGACCATTGAAAATAACCAATTCACGCTGCCTGCTCAGAACACAGTACTGAAAAATGGCATACCCTGTGGTTCACCTCCATAAACAGGATCACAATGAAAAAAGGAATTACTGCTTCCTGTGTTTTATGAATTGGGGTGAATGTAGGATAATCACTGTGACCATAAGAAATAGAAAACAATGTGTGATATAGTAAGACAGGTGCTATTGAAATATTCTGTGAATGATTATCTTTTTTAAAGCCCTGTCTCTAATTCCTGAAATGTATTACATTTATGTTGCACATTGTCCTTTTTTGTGAAATGTTTAAAAATGCAATAATGCTAAATGAAACTTTTATAATATAAAGTACCTAAACATTATCAACTGGTATAACAGCTTACACTGATCCTTTACATCACATAATAGTAAAAGCTGGAGTTTTAGATGTAAATAACCTGAAAATTACAGGAAAAAAATCAGAGAAGAGGTATGAATAGCAAAGCTCAAAATTTTCTAGATAAATATTACCTTTATTGGAATGGCTAAGTTAAGCTAATTAATATATGCATCACATCACATACATATTATTTTTGTAACAAGATTTCTTAAAATCTATGCCATAAATATATACAATTTTTATTTGTCAAACAAATAAATAAAACAAAATTACTTTTGTTGGACCCAGGTAAAATATCCTCCATGTGTCTTCTCTGTTTATCCAGTAATTATTAGTTACAGCAAATATCAGGACTGAAATATTCTTCTATCAACGACAAAGAAAGAACAAAAAAATAAGTGTTTAGATTCCTCACACAGTTCATTTTACATAACAAAAAAACTCTAATTTAACAGTTAAATTTCAATCAGTCAAGATCTCTCTTTAGTAAAGCAAATCAATTCATTGATTCCATGGAATCTATTTTCTTTATTATAAAAATTAAATCTAAATTGCAACAAATTAAATGTTCTTTTTCAACCTATCCTATCTCGGTAAATTCACCCATTACTCTTTTTCTTATTGTTTCAATCGACTACCATCTTATAATATCTTTGACTGAAAATATATGTCACCTGAAGAAGATGAAGAGTGAAAAATTCACAGAACCATGTTAGCAGATGTTCAAACCTGGACTAGCCTTTATCTGGATGGGGTAGATAAAATTGGGCTATATAGACGTTCCTGCCTTCCTTTCTCTGAATTTATATTCTAACCCCTTATCTATGAGCCAAAAAGCTCCATGCAAGTCTCTGTAGCTCTCTATATTCAGGCCTGCCTTCCAGCAGATGTGGCCCCTGTTCTAAAATTGCCTTTTCCTCTCCCCTTCTTAAAAAGAACACAGGGAAAGGCAAGATCTTAAGTGAAGTTAAATATCTTACTCATAGTAAATTCTTAGGCAGTGATATATGTTAATATTTGTTGTAAACATCTGGTATTTTGAAATTATGCAATCATTCCGCCAACTAGTCTGTTAGAATTTTATTTAACCCTGAAGAGTTGATCTCCGAGATGGGGGTGCCATCCATGCTCAGCTCCCTACAGCTCTGCAGAATGCTGAGAAGAAAGGGTACAGCCCCAAGCAACAATGACTTCTCCCCTAAAGTTCCTTTTCAGCCTTTTGCCACATCCTCCCCCTATTGCTGCTTTAATGAAATGAGAAGACGTTGGAGGAACCATGAGCCACTGTTCATCAAGTAAAAGATGAGAAGCCAGACCCATAGTTAAAGATCAATCAGGCATTGACAGAACTTATCACTGTGTTGGTGCCACGCAGACAGGATCATAATTTGTGGGGCTCTGGAAATGTCTTCACGTGCTGCTGTTCACATTTTTGTTTTATTATTTTTAATTGCATTTAAATTCCATTGCTACTCTGTGGACCAAGACTGAAATATATTCAATTTATTCTTGCAAGGAATCAAATGTCCAGGGCTTGACACCTAGGTATATTTTCCATTCGCAACATTGAGTTCCATGATTTGCTATCCTACCCCAGTCAGTGTATTATACATTTTAAAGTATCTAACATAATTTTCTACCTCTATTGACTGGCTGGCTTAAGACATTAACTTCTCCCTTTTCCTCCATATTAGGAAGAGGGAAGTGTTGACTTGGAAAGACTCAGGAGGTATGCACGCCAGAAAAGCATTCCTCAATGTCTCACATTCCAAAAATATATTTCTGAATATAATCCTTTCCAATATTTACATCAATTCAAAGAGTGCATGGTTAAATAAAACCTTGTAAGAGCCTTGTAAATTTATTCTGAGACATACTGAGGCTTCGGGGCATATTACCAATATTCTCTTATTCATTATAGTGATAATTCCCTAAAGCTAAGGACTAAAAAGCCAAAAACTTTCTCTCCAGAAAATGAGTACACCATGATTCTAATACTCCACTGAGTTTTAATCCTATTTGCCCTTCTTATTGGAGTCCTCTACAATCTTAGCTGAGGCAAATAGAGCTCTGAATACTCTGTATTCAACAGAGCACATGAAGGTTAAGTCCCACAAAAAAACATACGTTTTTCTTTCATGCTGCTCTAAATAAACCAGACACCTTCCTTTACAGACTTGGGCTGTCATTAGAAATGTTCATTTCATTTAGAGGAAGGTGCATCTGACCTGCGGTTGAGCACTTGGTTGTATACGCTGAATGCATCCATCATGGGCAGAAGTATTTCCATCATCCTAACATTTGGACACCCAGAACCCAAGTGCCACTGGGTGGGTGAGATCTCAAAGATGGTTTTAGATATCCTGAGAAGACAATTAGTCTTTCTTCTTTGAGACCTTGTTGTCTATTTCCTGTCTTGATTTGGTTGACTTTTCATATAATCTGAGTCCAATTATTAGACCCAGTGTCTCAAATATGGTGCAATCCTAAAATTCGCCTTTGCCGATATGTTTTATCATGGTTTCATTCTGTAAATGCTCATCTTCTTTATATCTCCTCTCTTCTATATCTAAGTCTAGGGTATTCTTTTGCACATAATTTCCTTAGTCTGGATAGTCTCAACAGTGACTATCAATAGTCTCAACTCTACAACACACTCTAGATTAACGAAGCCTGAGTCAGGGGCATCAACTGTAGTACCAGTTCATATTCTGAGAGCTGTAGACATCTATCAATTTATTTCATCATCTTACATTTAAAATTTCCATCATAGAAAGGAAAATTAAAATCAAAATACTCTTAGGGAAATAATTGAGAGAAAAGACATTAAAACAATTGACAATTTATCTGGAAATATACATATTTGGAAAGGTAATATATTCCTGCCACATGTTCATGGATATCAATCAACATCTAAGTAAAAGTTTTATAGCTACGAGTTTCTCCTCTAAGTGTCTTTCCCAAAAATAATGTAGAATTCATCCATGGTATCTCTATTTAAAAATTAATAATTATTTTCTTCCCCAACCTCTGTTTTCACTCTCTCTTCTTTTCTACTAGTAATAAAGATTGAAATTGAGAAACCCATAAAATGAAAGTGTAGTTAGTTCTCCAGCTTCTGGAAAACAAAATTATTTTATTACATTTGTTTCAATACTTAGGGTGAGACGATTTCATCATTCGTGGTTCATATTTCTGATCCAAACTTCCTAAAATTGCATGTAAGAATGACTTCTACCTCTCTATAAACTTCTCTTGACACTCACCCTCTGCTGAAATTTCTATTAAGAGGTCTAAAATATTCATCAGAGCCTGAAAAAGTGGACTTACCTATTTCAGTAAACGTTTAAGTTGTTTTGTAAAGAATGCTCTCCTCCAACAAAATGATGGATGATGGAGTTTAAGGATCCCAGACTCCTCGGACTCAGGGGCTCAGAAATCACCTGAGACTAGTTTAGATTGAGAGAAAAACTACTGGGAGGAACTTCATAGACGCCCTCAAATTGGCTGATCCGCAGACCTACGGAAGTGTGTTAGTGGCTGACTTTGCACAGAAGGGCTGAGAGAGTTCCCTCAGGAGCTTCATGCATTAGAGTGCTAATTGTCACCACTCCCAGTTCTCCAGAGCAGAGCCTCCATGCGGCCCTTCCTGTCCCTATGGAAAGCTGTGCTCCTCCATCCCTCTCCCCTCAAAAACTCCACTGAAGCCTTAGATCACTCTAAAAAGTCACAGAAGCCAGCTTTGTGAGATTTAAGATGTTCTCCTGTAGCTTGAACTTGAGTTTTAGCCCTCAAAGCCCCTATTCCAATGAGCAGTTATGGGTCTCCATCCATACCTGGTGAACCAAGCCAATTTTTATATTTGGCACTAGGATGCCCTTACCTCTGTCTATAGATAAGAGAATCGTGCTTCAACCCCCAGAGTTTTGTGCAAAGAGTTTCCCTGACCATTGCAAGTGTGGATAGAAAACTAAGTATATTTTCATGGTGTTAAGTTCCAATACTAACAGCATCGCATTATTTTAAGATTTTAATTAAGAGCTAAGACTATCAATAAGACCTACATAAAGAAAGTCTTACGATCTACAGGGTGAAAGAAAAGAAAGCAAAAGTTTATCCAAAATCCTTGATATAGTTTGAATGTATGTCCCCGCCAATTCCCATGTTGACTTGTCATCCCTAATTTTGGAGGTGAGGCCTTGTGGGAGGCGTTTGGATCATGCGAGTGGATCCCTCATCAATGGCTTGAGTCATCCCCCTTGGTGTTAAGTGAGGTCTCTCTCTGAGTTCACACAGGATCTGGTCATTTAAAAGTGTGGGGGCGGGCCGGGCACGGTGGCTCACGCCTATAATCCCAGTACTTTGGGGAGGCCGAGGCGGGGCGAACACGAGGTCAGGAGATCCAGACCATCCTGAATAACACAGTGAAACCTCGTCTCTACTAAAAATACAAAAAATTAGCCGGGCGTGGTGGCGGGCGCCTGTAGTCTCAGCTACTCAGAGGCCGGGGCAGGAAAATGGCGTGAACACGGGAGGTGGAGCTTGCAGTGAGCTGAGATCGCGCCACTGCACTCCAGCCTGGGCAACAGAGAGAGACTCCGTCTCAAAAAAATAAATAAATATAAATAAAATAAAATAAAAGTGTGGGGGCCGGGCGCGGTGGCTCACGCCTGTAATCCTAGCACTTTGGGAGGCCAGGCCGAGGCGGGCAGATTGCCTGACCTCAGGAGTTCGGGACCAGACTGGGCAACACGGTGAAACCCTGTCTCTGCTAAAATACAAAAGGAATTAGCTGGGCGTGGCAGCGTGCACCTGTAATCCCAGCTACTCGGGAGGCAGAGGCCGGAGAATTGCTTGAACCCGGGAGGCGGATGTTGCAGTGAGCTGAGATCGCGCCACTGCACTGTACCCTGGGCGACAGAGCGAGACTCCGTCTCTCCAAAAAAAAAAAAAAAAAAAAAAAAAAAAACTGTGAGCACCTCCCCACCCGCAATCTCTCTCTCTTGCTTCTCCTTTTTCCATGCGATGTGCCTTCTCCCACTTTGCCTTCTACCATGAGTAAAAGCTCCCTGGGGATTCCCTGGAAGCCGAATAGATGCTGGTGCCATGTTTGTAAAGCCTGCAGAACCATGAGCCAATTAAACCTATTTTCTCTATAAATTACCCTCTCTCAGGTGTTTCTTTGTAGCAATGCAAGAACAGCCTAATACAATCCTTAACATGGAATGGTTAACTTTCTATATCTCTTTAAATTTTTAATACCTAGGAAGAGGTTTGATGCAATTTTGAAAGAACAGAGTCATGTTACCATTCTGACATATTATTTATGCCTCAAGCACCCCCCCCCTTTTTTTTTACTGGGTTTGTTTAAATGAGTTTTTTTTTTTTTTTTTTTTTTCAGACAGAGTCTCACTCTGTCGCCCAGGCTGGAGTACAGTGGTGTGATCACAGCTCACCACAGCCTCAATCTCCCAGGCTCAGGTGATTCTCCCACCTCAGCCTCCCAAGTAGCTAGAACTACAGGCATGCACCACCAAATCCAGCCAATTTTTGTATTTTTCATACAGATGGTGTTTTGCCATGTTTCCCAGGCTTGTTTTGAACTCCTAAGCTCAGCAATCCACCTGCCTAGGTCTCCCAAAGTGCTGGGATTACAGGTGTGAGCCACTGTGCCTGGCCTTCAAGCACCTTTTAAGTGAATTATTAATACATTAATCATTCAGCTACCCAGTCAAATGCCTGGGAATTCCTCAGCACCACCATCTACCTGTGCACTCATTGTACAACTATCATCATCTCAAAACTCACTCATGCTTTTGCTTAACTACTCCCCCGCGTGTTGATGAATTCTATCATCCACGTGCCAACTCATCTATTTCCCTGATATCCTTTACTTAGTTACTAAATCTTCTATACTTACCCACTGTAACATCACTACTTCATTCCATCAGACTATCATAGCTTCTGATATTATAGCACTGGATGAC
The DNA here is from genome assembly GCF_000001405.40 of Homo sapiens. Lineage (NCBI taxonomy): Eukaryota > Metazoa > Chordata > Mammalia > Primates > Hominidae > Homo > Homo sapiens. The sequence continues at coordinate 143,949,389 of NC_000007.14, read as the reverse complement.
TTTGACAAAGGTTCTGTGATATTCCAGGCAATAAAGAGAAAAAGTAAATACTCTTCTCATCCTTCTCCCCAGTTTCTAAATACCCACATAGAATTGAAATGGTTGATAGTACATTTTCTTTGAGTCATACTGGAAAAATTCTATGGCTGTAAGAATTTAGCTGAAAATTAGCACACATTTACCCACTTATGCTTTATCTGTTAAAACAGACCTTAAAAATAACTGAGTTTCTTCTAGTCTAGAGTCTATATGGATTATAGAAAGCTAGAAAGAACATTGCTTCCATTCTAAATAGGAAGAAGCCAGATAATCTACAAAGTCATAACTATTTCTGAATTCATTAGAGAGCTAAAGTTGCAGGGAAACCTACAAGCATGAAAACTCAGGAAAGATAGATACCTCCAAAGAGACACAGGAAATGAGCTCTGCCTTATCTAGGCCAGAGCATGGGAGAAAAGTGAGGCCAACATACGAACCGGGAAGAACTGCTTTGCTAAAATGCTAAAGGCTAAGTGAGGAGTACTATGAGTGTAGAGAGGGAGGAACCACAAATAGAAAAGGAGTTCATACTTATACTCAAGATTTTCTCCTCAGACTTTAAACAGTCTTAACAAGAATGTTTGGAGGAGGGTGGAAAACTAGAAAAAGCTTCCTTCATCGTGCAGGTCTAGGGAAAGACAGCAACGTCTACTATAGGAGGCAGAAAACACTCTCCCTCCTACCAAGTCTGCCTTCCTTGGTGAACAAAACACTGAGCCACTGGAGAAAGAGCAAAAACTCTGTTCTTTCCTAGAGAAAGATGAAGACTCATTGCTGAGGGAAGAAAACTGAAAAAAGTTGCTAGCCCTGGAGTTTCTGTGGGGCAGAAAACCATTCTAGGTTCAGAGCATGAGCTGTCTCCTAAGGCTGAAGGTGAGACAAGATCACCGAGAAAGCCTTAACTCTATCGCACAAGGACAAAAGTTGTTTCTAAGATTCAGATAGAATGAGAAAAATGGAGAATAAACCCTCCCCTTCCATCACCAGGCTAGTAAAAATCAAAGAACAAATAACAGAAGTGTATTATGGGGAGAGAGGCAGCGCATGGAAGGACATACTCTCTGATATGTAGTCTCATAGGCAGAGCTTAAAACTGAGGGTGGAACAGCAATGTTGCAAAATCTCTCGATAATTGAATATCCCACCCTAGGTAAAATTTGTTACAAAAATTTAGATTTGTTGGTGCACTCACTGAGGATAACCACGCAACAAAACTCAAACCCTGCTTAACTCATGACTGCATTGATGCCCACACCCCACACACACAGCACTACAGAATAAACAGAAAAGACATGCCCATTGCAAAACATTATACTATCTGTCTCAGAGTCTACTGTCCTACACACACAGTGTTGCGGTTTCAACCAAAATAAATATCTGAGAAATGGAAAAAAAAAACAAACAAAACACTGTTACTGGAAAAAGCAATGGACAGAAACAGAATCAGACACAGACTTTTAAAAAGGAACTATACACAGAGGTTTAAAATAACTCTCATTAATAAATTGAAGGATCTAGTGGAAAAGACAAACACTCTGCATAAAGGCAGGAGGAATTTCAGCAAATAATTAAACACTATTCAAAAGAATCAAATGAAAATGCTATACATGAAGAACACAGTAACAGAAATGAAGAATGCTTATAAGAGACTCAACAGAGCTGAGAAACAACCAATGAGTCTAAAGATGCATTAATAAAAATTGGCAAAACAGTAGCACAAAGAGAAAAAAACAACAAAAATAGAAAGAGAAGAGAGCAGGTGAGGACTTTGTGACAACATCAAACAATCTAACATGGAAGCAACTGAAAAGTCCTAGAAAAATTTTTTTTTTAATATTTAAAGAGATAATGGCTAAGAAAAATGAGTAAAGAAATTGAAGCACAACTTCAAGAAGCTCAAAAATTAAAACTAAAAACAAATAAACCAACACCTAGATACATAACAGTCAAACTGCCAAAAATCAAAAAATAAAGTGGATACTCTGAATGCAGGCTGAGAAAAAAAGACACATCATATCTAGAAGAACAAAGATTCAAATCAACGCTGACTTCTTGTTAGAAACTATGCTGGCCAGAGGACAATAGAGTTACATTTTTCAAACCCTGAGGCAGGAAGAAGAAATCTATCACCTAATAGTTCTGTATGTAGAAAAAGAAAACATTTTTGAAAACAAAGGGGAAATAAATTCGTCTACAGACAAACAAAAACTGAATAAATACATTTCCAGCAGACCTAAATGAGAAGTTTCAATGACAGGTCTCTATGCAAAAGAAATATTATAGCAGACAGAAAGTTGGATATGTAAACACACACACACACACACACACACACACACACACACACAGAACCCTGGAAATGATAAAATTGAAGATTAGCATAAAATTTATTTTGAAAATGTTTAGCACACTACAAGATAATTGTCTGATGCAAAAATGATAGCAATGTACTTTGTGTTCATTGCTTAATGTAAATGTAAAATATCTGACAATAATAGCATACAAATGTAAGGCAGCAAGTAGTAGTATATTATTTGAAGGTTATATGCTACCCATGAAAGGATATCATATCATTTAAGTTATATTCAAATTAATTAAAGTGTATATTGTAAGCTATGGAGTAACCACTAAAAAACGTGAGTGGTATAAAGATAAGCTAATAGCAATGATAAAATGGAATAATAAACAATGTGCACTTGATATGAAAATCTAGTGAGACAGGAAGAAAAAGTGAAATGGGGAAAATGAAACAACATGATCCTAAATCACATATGGATCGAAGAAGAAATTTTGAAAGAAATTAAAAATACATTTCACTAAATGAAAATGAAAACACAACTTGTTAAAATTTGTGAAATGCGGTGAAAGTAGTGCTCAAGAGGAATTTACAGCATGGAATGCATACATTAGAAAAGAAGAAAACTTCCAAATCAATGATCTAGGCTTCCACCCTAGAAAATTAGGAAAAGAGCAAATTAAATTCAAACTCAGCAGAGGAAAACAAATAATTAAAATTTGAGCAGAAATCAATGAAATTGAAAATAACAAATCAAAATAAAACTGGAATAAAACCAAAAGCCAGTCTTTAAAAATATCAATAATTTTGCTAAGTGTTTAGCCAGGCTAATTAAGAAAAAAAAAGGAGGACAAAAACTGCTAATACCAGGGATGAAAAAGAAGACAGGGACATTAAAAGGATAGTCAAGGAATACTATCATAAGCAACTCTATGCCCACGTATTTGATAACCTAGATCAATGAATTTCTTAAAAGACAGAATCTGCTAAAACTCACAGAAGAAGAAATAAAATATGAATAGGCCTATGTCTATTAATAAATTGAATCAGTAATCAATGATCTTTTAAAACAGAAAGCACCATGCCTAGTTGGGTTTGCTGGTGAATACTACCAAACATTTAAGGAAGAAAATATACCAATTCTCTACAATTTGCTTTCAGAAGATACAAGCACAGGGACTCCTCTTAACTCATTCTATAAGGCTAGCATTACCCAAATACAAAGACAAAAAGAGACAAAGGCATTATAAGAAAACTGGAGAACAATATCTCTTATGAACATTGATGCAAAAATCCTCAACAAAATATTAACGAACTGAATCCAGCTATGTATAAAAAGAATTATACAATATGACCAAGTAGGATTTATCCCAGTATGCAAGGCTGGCTCAACATTTAAAAATCAGCTAATCCAATCTATCACATCTGCAGGCTTAAAAAACATTACATCATCATACAAATAGATGCAGAATAAAAACTGACAAAATTCAACACCTATTCATGATTTTAAAAAACTCTCAGTAAACTAGGAATAGAAGGGAACCATACGTTTTATGCGGAGGTAAAAGATCCGCAAGAGCCAACACAATATTGAAGAAGAATAATAAAGTTGGAAGACTGACATTGCCTGATATGGATTTACTACAAAGATTCCCTAGATTTGAAAAGAATATCTACCAAAACCTACAAGTAACTTCATATTCAATGGTAAGAAAATGGAAGCTTTCTCATGAAGATTAGGTACGAGACAAGGAAGTCCCCTCTCACCACTGCTTTTTAACATCATACCAAAAATCCTGGTCAACGCATGCAATAAGACAATAAAAGGAAACAAAATGTATACAGATTGAGAATGAAGAAATAAAATTGTCTGCACTCACAAATGACATAATTATCTATGCAGAAAATCTGAAAGAATAAAAAACAACTCCTAGAACTAAGTGACTAAAGGCTAATATACAAAGTCAATTTCTTTTCTATAGATCAGCAATGTTCAAGTGGAATGGCAATTAAAAACACAATTTTATTACATTTACACCTAGAAAAGAAATATGTACAAATCTAACAAAATATGTACATGATATATTTGAAGAAAACAAAACTCTGATGAAAGAAACCAAAGAAGAATTAAATAAATGGAGAGAAATTCCATGCTTAGAGATAGGAAGACTCAATATTGTCAAGATATTAGTTCTTCTCAAATTGACCCATAGATTTAATATAATTGCAAACAATTCCCAGCAAGCTAATTTGTGAATATTGACAAACTAATTCCAAAGTTTTTATGGAGCGGTAAAAGACCCGGAAGAGCCAAAACAATATTGAAGAAGAATAATAAAGTTGGAAGGCTGACACTGCCTGGTATGGATTTACTATAAAGCTACAGTAATCAGAAAATGACGGTATTGATGAAAGAATAGACAAATAGGTCAATAGACTAGAACTGAGAGTCCAAAAGTTGACCCACATGCATATAGTCAACTGATCTTTGACAAAGGAATAAAGGGAATACAGTGGAGAAAAGGCAGTGTTTTCAACAAGTGGTGCTGGAAGAACTGGACACCCACACGCCAAAAAAAAAAAAAAAAAAAAAGGGAATCCATGCAAAGAGCTTACACTCTTTACAATAATTAACTCAAAATGAATCATAGTCCTAAATGTGAAACAAAACAAAAATATAAAACTTCTGGCAGATAACATAGGAGAAATTCTAGACGACCTTGAGTTTGGCAATGACTCTTTAGATACAAGACGAAAGCCGAAGGAATGATCCATGAAAGACATAACTAATAAGCTGGACTTAATAAAATTAAAATGTTGTGTTCTGTGAAATAAGCTGTCAAGAGAATGAGAAGACAAGACACAGACTGGGATAAAATATTTGCCAGCAGCATTTAAAGGGTCATTTTAGAAAACGACAAATTATTTCCTTGTAAAATTAACTGCAGTTGTAGAATGAGACACTTGAGTGAAAAACACTCTCTTTCTCATGCATAGTGATAGTTATTTCTACTATAAAATAACTAAGAACAATAAAAAATGTGAAAATGTCTAGAATAATCCATACCTAAAATAGACCCTAATTATTACTTTAACACTCAAGAAAACTGATTAGTTTCTGCTCTTATATTGGATAAAAAAGGAAAGGAAATCTAGTTCCTTTCTAAGACAGAATATGTAATAAAATTATAAAACTCACGAAATTTACTCTTAGTTTTTTATATAATGTACCTACAGAGTAAAAAGTTAAGGTCCTTATGATTAAGACTAAGTCATATAAGCTTATACAGCCTATATTAATTTTTCAAATACTTTTATTTAGTTTGGAAAATAATGCGTTCATACTTTGAAGTTCTTATACTGAATAAAATAATAACATTTTTTCCCCAGGTCTGCTATTTTCTGTGTATCTGACTCAGTTACAGACTAGGAAGTTAGGTTTTAACTAACCTAAAGAAAGCACCCAAGAAATAAATTATTTGAACTTCTTTTTACTGCCTTGTGTTATTACAAAATATGTGAAACATAATATGAGCATACCTGAAAATATCTGTGCATTTATGTTGTAATTCATGTTAATGTCCTCATTTGAATATAGACAAAATATACTTAATTCATAAATTGTGAAAAAAAAGAAAATATTTGCAAAAGACATATCTGATATAGGACTGTAATCCAAAATCTACAAAGAACTCTCAAAACTCAAAAATAAGAAAATAAACAACTTGATTACATAATGGGACAAAGACCTTAACAGTTGACTTACCAAAGGAGAGATACAGGTGGCAAATAAGCATATGAAAAGAAGCTCCACATTATATATCATAAGGGAAATGCAAATTAAAACAACCACAAGATATCACTACGCACCTATTAGAATGGTCAAAATCCAGAACACTGACAATATCAAATGCTGATAAAGATGTAGTTCAAGGGAAGACTCATTCAGCGCTGGTGCGAACGCTAAATGTTACCATTTTGAAGGACACTTTGGCAGTTTCTTACAAAACTAACCATGCTTGTTATGAACTGAATATTGGTGTTCACCCAAAATTCGTATGTTGATGCCACAGTGTGATGGTATTGGGAGGTGAGACCACTGGGAGTTAATTAGGTCAGAGGGTGGAGCCCTCATGATGGGATTACTGTTTCGTTTTTCTTTTTTTCCTTGAGACGGAGTCTTGTTCTTGTCGATCAGGCTGGAGTGCAATGATCACTAGTCCTTCAAAAAAATTCAAATTAAAACCACAATGAGATGTTACTATGAATCTATTAGAATGTCTAACTTCAAAAATTGTATTAAATTTCATTCCTAACAAGAGCGTACAAGGGTCTTTTATCTCTACGCCCTCACCAACATGTTGCCTGTAGTATAATTTGCAGTTGGGTAGCTTGATGCCCCCAGCTTTGTTCTTTTGCTTAGGATTGCCTTGGCTATTCAGTCTCTTTTTTGGCTCCATATGAATTTTAAAATAGTGTTTTCTAGTTTTGTGAGGAATGTCATTGGTAGTTTGATAGGAATAGCATTGAATCTGTAAATTGCTTTGGGCAGCATAGCCATTTTGATATTGATCCTTCCTATCCATGAGCCTGGGATATTTTTCCATTTGTTTGTGTGTTCTCTGATTTCCTTGAGCATGGTTTTGTAATTCTCATTGTAGAGATCTTTTACCTCCCTGATTAGCTGTATTCCTAGGTATTTTATTCTTTTTGTGGCAATTTAATTTGGCTTTCAGTTTGGCTGTTGTTGGTGTATAGGAATGCTGGTGATTTTTGTACATTGATTTTGTATCTTGCAACTTTGCTAAAGTGGTTTATCAGCTGGAGGAGCTTTGGGTCCCAGACTGTGTGGTTTCCTGGATATAGAATCATGTTGTCTGCAGGGATAGTTTGACATCTATGCAGCCATAAAAAAGAATGAGATCATGTCTTTTTCAGGAACATGGATGGAGCTGGAGGCTATTATCCTTAGCAAACTAACTCAGGAACAGAAAAGCAAATACTGCACATTCTCACTTATAAGTGGGAGCTAAATGATAAGAACTTACGAACACAAAGAAGGAAACAACAGACACTGGAGTCTCCTTGAGAGGAGAGGACGGGAGGAGGAAGAGGAGCAGAAAAGATAACTATTGGGTACTGGGGCTTAATACCTGGGTGATGAAATAATATGTACAACAAACCCCCATGACATGTGTTTACCTATGTAACAAACTTTCACATGTACCACCAAACCTAAAATAAAAGTTTTGAAAAAAATCTTTAAAAAGTTGAACTCATAGAAGTAGAGAGTATAATGATGGTTACCAGAGGTTGTGGTGGGGGTAGGGTACAGAGGGAAACAAGGAGATATTGGTGAAAGGGTAAAAAGTTTTCAATGGACAGAAGGAATACATTTTGAGATCTATTGCGCAGCATAATTACTATAATTAATAATGATGTATTGCATATTTCAAAATTGCTAAGAGCATAAATTTTAAGTGTTATCATCACAAAAAATAAGTGTATGAGGGGATGGATATGTTAATTACCTTGATCTAATTACTTCACAATATATGCATATATCAAAACATCACATTGTATCTCATAAATATATACAAGTATTGTCAATTAGAAATAAAATAATATAATAAATAACTACCAATAGTAAATGTGGAAAATGATGTGGAATAACTAATATATGATAGTATGGATGCAAATGCAAAGGGTACAATCACATTTAAAAATAGTTCAGCACCTTCTTATGAACATAGACATGCTCTTGGCATATAGCCTAGCCATACGACTCCTATGGGAGATTTCATCTTACCCAATTGAAATAAACACGTATGTTTACCTAAAAATCTGTACTCGAATGTTTACAATAGTTTTTGTCACAATTATAAAATGTAGAAACAATGCAAATGTACTTCAAAATAGCAAATTGACATATTGTGCATGCATACAATAGAATATTAGTCAGCAATAAAAAAGAATGATCTACTGTAACTTGTAACATCATGAGTGCAACTTAATGCATTATGCAAGGAAAAAAGTCAGAGTAAAGAAGCTACATGCTATACTATTTCATGTATATGATATTTTGCATAGGCAAGCATATAAAGACAGAAATCTAATTAGTGATCACCAGTGGGTGATGTCCAAGAAAATAAATTGAGCACAAAGGAACACAAAGGTATGTTTGGGGAAATGAAACTCTTATATAACCTGATTGTGGTGATGTTTATGCAATTACATGCATTTTTCAAAACTTACAGAACTGAGAATAAAAAAGGGTGAATTTCACAGTATATAAATTATACCTTAATAAAGAATGCAATATAAAAAAGTATTCCTTATTATTTATTAATAGTAGCATAGCATTTAGGCTCAAAAAAGTCAAATGCAAATTACGGACTTTGCAGTGTTGGTTCAACATCAGTTTATACCATAAAGACTTGAAGCTTTTTGATTGAGCATTCTTGGTACTGGTTATTCACTTTAAAAGTTGAAAATCTAAAGCCATCTAAACACATTTATAGTACTTACAAAGTCCAGGTTATAAGAAATAGATAACATTGTGAGTTACTCTAAGACAAAAAGCATTTGTAATTTATAAGAAGTACAGTGCTAAATAGATATCCTAAGGATATTTCTGAAATGATTATATTAAGAAAAATCTTTGTGTGTTCTTCAGTAGGCTAATTGCTGAAATAAGCAATTCCAAAATAACCATCAATTAGCACAATAAAACTTTCTTTCTCATTTACACAAAATTTTTATGTAGGTGACTCTGGTGAAGTGGTTCTTTTGGGAAACTCTCGTCCTGTCAGTGACTCGGGACCCACACCTTCTCCACCAGTGACTCTTCTACTGCCCAGGCCCACCCTGTTCTAGATTCCCGAGATTGAGATGATTTCAGAGCAAGACAATAAGCACCAGAGGCTGGCGCTCAGGAGGTTTCAACCGGCCAGGCCTGGAGGTGGCATATTTTCTGTGTATGCATGCTCCAGTGGTTAGAACTTCGTCCCGTGGGCCGGGCGCGGTGGTTCGCGCCTGTAATCCCAGCACTTTGGGAGGCCGAGGTGGGTGGATCACGAGGTCAGGAGATCGAGACCACAGTGAAACCCCGTCTCTACTAAAAATACAAAAAAAAAAAAAAAAAATTAGCCAGGCGCGGTGGCGGGCGCCTGTAGTCCCAGCTACTCAGGAGGCTGAGGCAGGAGAATGGCGTGAACCCGGGAGGCGGAGCTTGCAGTGAGCCGAGGTCGCGCCACTGCACTCCAGCCTGGGCGACAGAGTGAGACTCCGTTTCAAAAAAAAAAAAAACTTTGTCCCGTGGCCATAGCTGCCTTCGGAAATAGGCTCATATTTAGTCTAATTCTGTACCAAGGAGAAGAAAACAATGAGTCCAATTAGCAACTAGCCAGTCCCTGCCACAGAATTAGACACTGATCGGATCAGGTCACACTTGAAGTCACGTGTTTATTTCAGACCTCTACAATTTAAGAGGCGTATTTAGAATTTTCAAGCCCCTTAGAGGAAAGCCCAGAATAGTGAGAAGTCTAGGATTCAGGCTAATGAATACGCATTTGGAAACATTTAGCCTGATAATTTAATTCTCTGCATAACCTTAGTTTTAGAAAAATTACACCCTTACATACACCTATGATTTCTCACTATTAAGATTTGACTGATAGTCATTCTGCCACTTATAAAATTCTTCTCTCCTAAATCTCCTTATATAAAATTATCTAACCAGTTCTAGACACATCTATGCTTTCTTGATCACTAGAGCAGAAGGGATCCATTCCCTTCTTGAAAGTTTTTTGGCTGTATCTTTATTCATTTCATAACTCAGAAGAAAAGGACCGAGAGGCAGAAACTATAGTGACCCACCCAGCCTTCCAGCCCAGCCATGGAGGCCCCAGACCAGTCCATCTCTCAGGAAAGTCTGTGGAACCCAACCTACTTCCCTCCACAGGGAGGGATAAGGCCTGGGTAGTGTCTGTTCCATCTTGACACCATACACTTCACACTTCTTAACTCCCTGTCTACAGGAGTCATCTTATGAGGACTCAGCAGGAGCACATGGTCTTAAGCCTCAACAGACCAGACCACAGAATCTGATCCAGATTGGAGATCCAGTTTCCTTCTAACTTGGTTTGCTCTTGATCCAAGAAACAAGTAGTGCAAAGAATAGGTTGAAATATAGGCAGGGGACACGTTGTATTTCATTAAAGCTCATCATAAGTCAATGATCCTTGAAGCCCACACAGAGTGAGTCATTCATGTCAGTATCTTCAACATTACACCGTATACAGCAATAACTTTTCTAATTAGTGAACTAGGTCATCAAGGCCTAATGTCTGGGTAAGCAGCCTTGAAATTTTTACTATAATGATAATGATGCAATTTCCTCTTTTATCTGCACCTATGCTTCAAAACTCAGTGATCTCCACATTTTTCCATTTGATATTTACCGTGAACTGACCTGTCTATGCTCACCCAGCCTGCTGAGCTCAGCCCTGCAGGCCTAAGACGACTGTCACACCCTTAGTTCAGATTCCTCTAGTGTCTAAATGGCATTAATGGAGCAGCCCACTAGATTGACTTCTTGCTTCCAATTTTTTATTCCTCTATCTCATTTGCCAGTGATATTTCAGAAATGTAAAATTTATCAAGCCATTCTTCTGCTTAAAAATCATTACTGACTTCTGGCCGGGCGCAGTGGCTCACGCCTGTAATCCCAGCACTTTGGGAGGCCTAGGCAGGTGGATCACGAGGTCAGGAGATCGAGACCATCCTGGCTAACACTGTGAAATCCCATCTCTACTAAAAATACAAAAAATTAGCTTGGCGTGGTGGCAGGCAACTGCAGTCCCAGCTACTAGGGAGGCTGAGGCAGGAGAATGGCGTGAACCCAGGAGGCGGAGGTTCCAGTGAGCCGAGATCGCGCCACTGCACTCTAGCCTGGGAGACACAGCAAAAGTCTGTCAAAAAAAAAAATCATTACTGACTTCCCATTGCTATTAGGATATAGTTGAAAGATAATGTGGCATTCAGTGCCCGCCATGAACCAATGCATACCTACCCATCCACTTCATCCTCACTACTTCTCACTACTTCCTCACTCTTCTCTGCCCTACAAGTGCAGCTTCCAGATATTTCTGGATACTCAAGTCTCGCCCTCTGCACTTTGGCTCAGGTTTTTCATTTCCTCCAGTTCCTTTTCATCTGGATAACTTGCTCTCACTTTCCTGGTCTCAATCTAGACATTTTATGTTGTTTTCTTTTAACAGGAAGACTTTTGTGACACCCCTGATGGGCTTACTCTATCTGTAATATTTACAACATTACTTTATAATTGCTTCATTATCCATCATCCCTGCTATGCAACCCAGAATTGTATCATATTCACTACAGAGTCTCCAGAACCATTCATTGTCACTGACACGTACTAGACACTCCATTGATAATGCTTAAGTTAACACCAATAGAAATTTTAGTTTGCTGCCATTGACATTTTTGGGGATGCTTGCCTACCTTGCAAAATTTAAGATAGAATAGTAATTAAGGTAAAACTGATATTTCAAAAGGGCTTTGGATTATATGAACCTTCATAAATACCTGAGGATCTGTGACAACGTGGTCACCAATGGAAGAACAGAAAATTAACTTACTGAAAGAAGAGACACGACTTAGGTTACTTCAAGCAAGTGAGATGATCAGCTACTATCATAATTTTTCTCCTCTTTCCCCTTCTTTACCTTATATATTTGTTTCTTCTTCTTTTGTATTATTTATAAATTTTAGCAGCAGTGAGGCCCACTCTCGAGCTCAGATGACTAGGTTTAGAAAGTTGACTAGTGCCCTACTGTATGTGTGAGAAGAAATAAGAAAAGTCCTTAATATGGAAGCTTGAAGGTAACATTTGCACAGGTGAGGCATCTATCCTGACTCCTCAAAATTCATGTTAAAATTGTCTTCTCTTTCATTGGTATTGGCTGAAGAGTGTCATTTCTTAGATTAACTATGTCTTTGATGTTTTATAAATTATCTCATAATTTATTGCTTATTTTGTTTCTAAACATTAAAAAATGGAGTTTGTGAATTTTCCTGAGATTGGACAATTTTAATATGTTAAATGATACCTCTTATACAGTAAAATTTCTCTCAAACTGAGTGCTGTGAGTAATGCCTGAAACTTAAATTTTCCTTGGCTAATAATAGTCTTCATTACAAACAACCATTTTTTAACCCTATCAGGGCAAAATAAGAACTTTCATTGATATTTCTTCACTGAATTACTTCCAGCACTCAGAGAAAGACATTTTGTTCACATTTCGAAGGTCCTGCACAAAATCATTTTAATAAGCCTTGACAAACAACATCCTTCTCGGAATGTTGATTCATAATTATTGTATGTGGCTACATAAACAACCAATTATTTTCAGTGAGTCTTCAAATGTGAAAATGCATTTTGTTTTCAATGCAAACACTACAACCTTTACAAAATGTCAATAAATAAGAACCACTGGTCCAAGGTAAGATGTATGAATAGGTCTACGGTTATAAATAATGTGACAAACCAAAACAGTAAGTAGTACTTTTTTTCAGTTTTTATCAGAACATAAGAGTGGAGATTGAGAAATTGTGGAAGGTTCTGTTACAGCAGTAGCTAACTCCACTAATCATACTGCTGGGATATAAAATTATCCCCACATCCCACACCCCATCCAACTCAACCACTCAGCCTCCTACATAACATCCCCAGTACATGTTACATCATCTCCTTCCCGGTTGCCAGAGCAACATAGTTTATCCCTGCCATATCTGAGCTGGGTGGAGAAAAATGAGGCAAAGCTTCTTCTTAAAGTAATGTTCATGAGTCAAGTTCCCAGCTTGGATGTTAACCCAGAGAATTTCTCTAATAGTTTATGCCAGGCCCCCTTCACCTCTTTATTCCTTAGACTATAAATCACAGGGTTCAGCAGAGGCATAACAATGGCATAGAAGACAGAGATCAGCTTCTCTTGAAGGACTGAGGGACCAGAGTGGGGCTGGATGTAAGTGAAAATCGTTGTGCCGTAGCACAGGGCAACCACCGTGAGGTGAGAGGCACACGTGTGGAAGGCTTTCTTTCTTCCTTCTCTGGACTGGATCTTTAGGATGGTGGAGATGATCCGGATGTAGGACAACAGAACCAGGCAGAAAGGTGTCATCAGAAGAACAATGCTAGACACCATGATGGCAGCCTCATTGGAGGAGGTGTCCACACAAGCCAGCCTGACCACAGCTAGGAGTTCACAGGATATGTGATCAATAAACTTGTTAGTGCACATGGGCAGCTGAAAGGTGATAGCAGTCTGCACAAGAGAGTTGATGGAGCCACTGACCCAGGATGTGATGGCCAACCTAGCACACAGCCCTCCATGCATGATGGCCGAGTATCGCAGGCGGTCAGACACAGCCACATGGCGGTCATAGGCCATCACTGCCAGGAGAACAAACTCAATCCCACCCAAGGCCAGGGAGAAAAATAACTGGGCTGCACAGCTCTGGAATGGGATGGCTTTATGTTCTGCAAGAAAATGTGCCAGCAGCTGGGGGACTACGCTTGTGGCATAGGAGACATCGACAAGGGAGAGGTTGGTGAGAAAGAAATACATGGGAGTGTGGAGTCGGCTGTCCAGTCTGATCAGAAGGACAATGAGACAGTTCCCCAGCACTGTCATGAGGTATGTGACCAAGAACAGGGAAAACAGGGATATCTGAGTGCACCAGTCACTGGATAAGCCAAGGAGAATAAATTCTCTCACCCACGTCTGGTTATCTATTTCCATTTAAAAATGTGAGGAATATTAATCTGTAGAAAGAGTCAGAAAAAAACAGAAGCTGTTGAATCAAAGAATCATAAGAATAACTTCTTAGGAATGCATACTGTATACGACATTCCAGCCTTGGCCAAATATTTTAGATAATTCACAAGGCCAAGATGACAGGCTTGTTTCCAACATACACTATATTTACTTTGCATTAGAGAGACAGTAGTGCTTTCATAAGGACATGATGTGGACTCAAATAAGCCAGTTAAAGCCTGTAGATAATGCAGTGCAATTTTTGGAAGCTTTACCTCTTTACTAGCTTACCTCAGTATCCAGGGCAGGGAGTTTGTTTTCTGATGATGTCAGCAAAAAGGAAGAATAGAAAGTCCCAGGCTCTACTCTTCTCCACAGAACATTCAACTAGCAACTATCCCCAGACCAGAATATCTCTTTTAAAACTCCACTACTTGGACACTAACATGAGACAACCACAAGGTACGTGGAATGAAAATTGAATTAGAAGGCTAAGAAGCATAGTTTCACTTCAACCCTGCCACCTTGCCTCCTGCCAAAGTCAACACAACACCAGACAAAGAGGGTTTTCCTGGGCCCATGGTTTTTACAGGAGGAAAGGAAAACTAGAGGCAGTCATTCAGCATCTCTAGTTTTCCAAGATGCTTCTCAGAAATCCCACTCTGGGCTTATCTCATGGAGAACACTGGGGGTAACAGCATAGCTAGACTACCTGGTGTCAAGTAAAAACAAAGAAAGGAGGCAGAGGTCTTAGTGACCAGCACACAGATCATGGCATTACCTCTGTGTTCTTGCTAGCTGTGGTGCCCAATCTGAGACACTAGTCAACTTCATAGTTCATTTACAAAGCTAAGCTGGTCATCTTCAGAAGCATGGTGGGAAGTACAACCTAGCTTGAGGCCTTAGATAGCTAGTCCCCATGTCCAGTCTCAGAGCCCACACCAGTGACCTCTGCCAAGACAAGGAGATACACACCTCCACCCATTTCAGAAACACACATGAGGTAGACCTGCTTAACCCAGGAAGTCAATCCATGGCTCTACTCAGCTAAAAGGCCCCATCAAGGACATCTACATGCCTTTCAGAGAAGCATGAGGGCTAGAACTGTTTGACCTGGGAAGTCAAACTCAATTCAGCCAAAAGCCCATCTTAAAGGGAAGAAACCCTACAAGGAAGCTCCACCTTAACAGGGAAGCAACCATCAATTGTGTTTTTCTGAGTGTAGCCTCTGGCCTCAATCATTCTAAGCAGCAACTTCTCCTAACTTTGGAGTTCAGCCTACAGCCCTGCCCAACTGCAAATCCCAGAAAGCATAATTTTCCAGCCAGGGAATAAATTCTGTGACTAGTCTGACCAGAAGCCATTGCAGTACGCAGTCAGTAGCTCTGTGTGATAACAGAGCTCAGCCAGTGGTCTTGCCAGACAGCAGGGCCCAGTCAATAGCCCCAGCCAATATCAGAGCAAAGACAGCATCCCAGGCAGGTAGAAAATCCACAGTTAGCTTTGCTTGCCCAGGGCCATTACCAGCTGGCCCTTGAAGAATTACAGGCTACACTAAATAGTATAGGTCTAGCCCTGCCAAAGAACACCTGTAAAGGCCAGAAGGAGGGGGTATCTCTTCAAATGAAAAGATAACAATGCAAAGACACAAGGATTACAAAGCACTGGGGAGTTATGACACCTCCAAAAGAAACTAATAAAGGGCTAATAATGGACCCTAAAGAAATGGAGATTTATGGGGTGACAAAAAATTCAGAATAATCCTCTTAAGTTAAAAAAAAGTACCAATAGAAATTTTAAAAAATTTGGAAAAAAATACACAAACAAGATGAGGAGTTTTACAAATAAATAGAAACAATAAAAAAGAACCAAATAGAAATCCTAGAGATGAAGAATAAAAAGACTGGATTGAAAAATTCAATTAAAAGTTTCAATGGCAGACTCAAGCAGAAGAAATATCAGTGAGCTGAAAGAACATTTGAAATTATCCAGTCAGAGGGGCAAACAGACAAAAGAATGAAAAAGAACGAAGAAAGCCTGTAGGAATTATGGGAGACCAATCCTTTATATAATAGGAGTTGCAGAAGGAGGAGAAGGAGAAAAAGGGGCAAAAACCATATTTAAAGAAATAATGGCTGAAAAATTCCCTAATCTGGAGACAGAAACCAACATCCAGGCACAAGAAGTTCAAAGATCTCCAATCAAATTCAACCCAAAAAGGAGTTCAGCAAAACACATAATAATCAAACTATTGAAACTCAAAGACAAAAAGAAAAGGATTCTAAGAGGATCAAGAGATAAGAAACACATCACATAAAAAGGAGTTTCAATACAACTCTTAGCCGATTTCTCAGCAGAAATCCTGCAGGCCAGGAAAGATTGGGATGATATAGTCAAAATGCTGAAAGTAAAAAACTTGCCAATCAAAAATACTTTACCCAGAAATACCTGCATTTCAGAAATAAAAAAGAAATAAAAACTTTCCCAGACAAACAAAGGCTAAGGGAGCTCATCACCACTAGGTCTGCCTTATAAGAATTATTAAAGAAAGTTATTCAATCTGAAGCAAAATATTACTAATTAATAACATATAACTTACAAAAATAGAAAATTCAGTAATATAAGTAAAACAGAGCCGTACTCAGAATACTCTAGGACTGTAATGATGGTGTATAAAGCAATTATATCCCTAGTACAAGTATTAAAAGACAAAATTACTAATAACAACTACAGCTAAAATAAGTTACTGAAAGATACACATTAAAAGCAATGGTAAATTCTGGGCCGGGCATAGTGGCTGACATCTGTAATCCTAACACTTTGGGAGGCTGAGGCATGTGGATCATTTGAGGGTCAGGAGTTTGAGACCAGCCTGGCCAACATGGGGAAACCCTGTCTCTACTAAAAATACAAAAATTAGCTGGGCATGGTGGCAGGCACCTGTAAACCCAGCTACTTGGAAGGCTGGCACAGGAGGAGAATTGCTTGAACCCAGGAGGCAGAGGTTGCAGTGAGCTGAGATCATACCATTGTACTCCAGCCTGGATGACAAGAGCGAAACATGGTATCAAAAAAAAAAAAGTAATGGTAAATTTCAATATCAAAAACATAAAATGTGGCTGGGGGACTAAAAGTGTAAAGTTGTTGGATGCAATCAAAGTTAAGTGGTTATCAGCTTGAAATAGGCTGTTTTAACTGTAAGATATTTTATGTAAGCATCTTGGTAACCACAAAGCAAAAATATTTAGTCAAAGCACAAAACAAAAATAGAATTGATTCAAAACATACCACTACAGAAAATCATCAAACCACAAAGGAAGACAGCAAGAGAGAGAGGAAGAAAAAAAAAAAAAGTAGAACCAGAAAAAAACAAAAACCAGAAAACAATTAACAAATGGTAGTAGTAAGTCATACCTATCAATAATTACTTCAAATGAAAATGGACTAAATTCTCTAATAAAAAAGACATAGAGTAGCTGAATGGATTAAAAAAAAAAAAGAAGACTCAACTATACGCTGCCTACAAGAGACTCTGCTCACTTTTAAGGATACACATGGACTGAAAGGGAAGAGATGAGAAAAGATAATCCACACAAATAGAAAACAAAATACAGCGAGGGTAGCTATACATATATGAGAAGAACAGATTTTAAGTCAAAACTATAAAAAAAAGAAGGCCAGGTGCGGTGGCTCACGCCTGTAATCCCAGCACTTTGGGAGGCTGAGGCGGGTGGATCACCTGAGATCAGGAGCTCAAGACGAGCCTGGGCAACATGGTGAAACCCCATCTCTACTAAAAATACAAACATTAGCTGGGCACAGTGGCATGTGCCTGTGATCCCAGCTACTCAGGAGGCTGAAGCAGGAAAATCACTTGAGCCTGGGAGGCGGAGATTGCAGTGAGCCCAGATTGCGCCATTGCACTCCAGCCTTGGTGACAGCGCGAGACTCCATCTCAAAAAAAAAAAAAGACAAAGAAAAGCATTATATAATGATAAAAGGATCAATTCATCAAGAAGATATAAATATTATAAATATATATGCAGCCAACATTGGAGCACTTAAATAAATAAAACAAATATTAAAGGATCTGAAGTGAGAGATAGACGGCAACACAATAACAGTAGGGGACTTCAATACACTAGGTTCAACAATGGAAGAATCATTTAGACAGAAAATTAATGAGGAAACATTAGACATGAAAAACACTTTAGACCAAATAGACCTAACAAACATATACAGAGCATTCCATCCAACAGCAGCAGAATACAGCTTCTTTTCAAATGCGCACTGAACATCCTTCTGTACAGTATCCAGGCGAGGAAGGATGGTAGGTAAAATGGTAAACAATGAATATAAACATGGTTCAAATATCTACCTTGCATATATATCTACCCTGCATATATATCTACCCTGCATATATCTACTACATCAAACATGATGAAATGTATAAATAAATTACCAAAAAAGATTCTGAAGAGACAGAGGTATAGTAACAACGGAAAGATAGAGTATTAGAGAATCTGGATGTGAATCTTGTTTCTTATGACTTACCAGGTGTGTGATTTGGGTTATAAACTTAATTTTTTATATTCAAAATGGGATAATATTACATAACTCACTAGGATATGTAAGCTCAAATATAGATAACTCATGGAGAAACCTCTTCATAAACTGAGCCTCAGAGCCAAACAATCCACAACCCTTTCTGCTTCTTGAGACCTGGAACAAGCTACTTAGCCTTTATGCACTTCATATTTCTTTATCTGTAAAATATGGATGAATATTGGTTAATTGAAAGGTATGTTGGTGAAAGGTATGTTAGGTAGTAGTACTCTAGCAGTACAGGTATTAGTGGTAATATGACCTCTACTCTGGGGGAGACAAAGTAACAAACAAGTTTTCCCCTTACATCCCCTCAAGTTCAGACTTTTTGAAAAAGGAAGCAAAACTGTTAATATATTTAAAGTCTTGGAGGTAACTTATACTATTTGAAGTTCCTGGGAACTTTGGGTCTTACTGAGGATTTAGGCTCTTTCAATCTTTGGCAAAAGAGGAAGGGGAGTGGTAAATATATCTTGTTATTTTTATTTTTCTATTGTTCTGTTTATTCCTACTCACTCTTTTTATTTTTCTAAGAAAGCCTTTGCATATGGTCTCAGAAAAAAGATGGTAGGAAAATGGCTGCTTAAGCTTTCTAGCATAAAAGAAAAAACACATCTGGAAACCTTTGTTGACTATATAGCAGATCTGCCTCCACAGCAGGTATTTCATTTTCAATTAATTTGGCAAACAACTATGAAGTGCCATTTTTACTAGATGCTGAGATTTCAAGGTGAATATTACATTTCCCTGTCCTCAAAGAGCTGACCTGGCAAGTGGAGTGAAAGACACAGAACAAATTGTTATCACAAAATTTGTTCCTCTGCTGCACTATGACAGCTGCCTGGAGAACATGCAAGCCCATGACTCATATGCTCTTCTCACCCACTCTGCACATCTCTCTACTACAGCCTTTGTCTCACTATGACTGATTGACAGCATCACATCCTAGAAAAAGCATGAGCCTCAAAGCCAAACAATCCACATCCCTTTCTGCTTCTTGAGACCTGGAACAAGCTACTTAGCCTTTACGCACTTCATATTTCTTCATCTGTAAAATATGGATAAATATTGGTTAATTGAAAGATATGTTGGTGAAATCTAATGCACTGAAGATCTAAAGTTGCTACACTAATGACTGAATCACTTTAGTGCTCATCATTTACTGATGATAATTGGTTGACCTTTCATTTCATGCCCTTGATAACTTTCATAGCATATTCTTTCATTATTCCCCCTCCTAGCATCCTCTGGTTTATCTTGCTCTTGATCAGCTCCCACTTGCTCATTATAAAAACTATACAGTTCTTTTGGGGAGAAGACCTTTTGCTACATAATTATCATTTTAATTCTCTCTTTTCTTTCACATCCAGCATTCCCAAAGGATTGGTATCCACTTGTTGGGTTTATTTCCTCATAACATTCATTCTTTAGGCCCTGAAAATCTAATTTCCACCTTCACTAATCTATAGAAATTGCACTCTTAGAGGTCACTTGTAGCTTTCTAAAAATCATATCCAGAGACTTTTATTCTACCTTCATTGTTTGTCTTTTAACACATTTAACTACTTGTTTCTTAAAACTCTCAACTCTGTGAAACTCTTCTGTCCTGATTTTATTCCAAACTTATTTTTTTTCTGTATTCCTGGATAATTATTTCAAATTTTTCTTATTCCATCGCTGTAAGTATTTTCTAAGTTTCTGTGCTCAGAACTTGCTCTCTCCTTTCTATAGCTTTTCTTTGAAGGACTTATCTTAACTATAATAATTCTTATCAACTTTATATGGCCCAATCTCAATTCTATATTTATCTCCTATACTTCTCTCCAAAGGTTCAGTTGCCTCCTTCAACAGCTTAATGAATGTATTCTAAATATTTCACCATAGACTCAACTCACATCTCTACAAGCACCTGACTCCCTTATTTCTATCAATGGAACTAAAATTCTTCCACTCTCCCAATGTATCATGTTTAATTTTTCTCTTTCTTGCCCCTCCTTGGAATATATCAGCTTCTTGTATTCTTGTGTTACATACCTCCCATCTATCCTTAGTTTTCATTCACACTGCTAATGCCTTAACACATGCCCACATGCCTCATCACTTCCCATCTGATGAAATACAATCACCTGCTTATGAGTCTCACTGATTTGCCCTGGGCCCACTCCAAACCACCTTACACTGTAAACCAAACTGATTATCCTAAAATATATTCATACCTAAATTATAATCATGTACAAACATATCTTACGATGTCTGACTACAGGGCTAAGTATATTCTGGACAGAGGAGTGTCCAAATTCTTGATAATAGGTCCTATCCTATCTTTTATTTTATTAGTTGTAGCATTTATTATCATGATGTGTTTAGAGCAAAGTTTTCACTAAAATATCCCTCTAATGCTAAATACCATTCACAAGTATGTCAGCTAATTATTTTTAATCCATCAGACTATATTTAGCATTGCCTTGATTTTAAAATAATTTAAACCTAAAATAACTGATATCCAAATATTCCTGGTTTTTAGCCATAGAGCCCTTCTTAGATTCATGGCAGATAAAAAAAATAGAAATAGTGTCTGCATTTATAAAGATAAATGGAGGAGGAAATGTGTTAGATGATTTTGACACACCTGCAGTTAACACCATCTCCTCATTATCTTGGACTCAGCTTTCAGCTAAATAGAGCTGGATTCCTAATCTGTCTTCAGAATGAAGAATGAAATACTTGCTAGATGGTGTTCTGCATATCCAAACACTTGGTGTCAGAAGTCTAAAGCCTGGTCTACTCCAGTGTTTCAGGGGATCTGAAACTATCCCAAAACCTGTTTCTCATTGATATCAACATCAGTGAAAGACAACATCAAAAAAGATAGATTTTTGAGAACATTTGATCCATTTTTCTCTGTGCAAAGAATTCTGGTTTGGTTACCTGACTTTTCACACATCTGAGTCCAATTATCTAGACCCAGTTTCTCAAATATGTGCATCTCTGACATTCACCTTTGGTAACATAGTTTATTATGGTCTTATTGTGTAAATTTTCACCTTTATATTTCTCATTCCCCTAGCCTTAAGGGGGATAAGAAACAGAGCCTTGAATCATATTTTCTATTTCTCCTTTTTTTGTTTTTTTTTTTTTTTTTTTTTTTTTTGAGATAGAGTCTTGCTCTGTTGCGCGGGCTGGAGTGCAGTGGCACGATCTCGGCTCACTGCAACCTCCACCTCCCAGGTTCAAGTGATTCTCCTGCCTTGGCCTCCAGAGTAGTTGGGACTATAGTATAGGGCAAAGGATGCAGCTTTTGTTCAAAAGTCAGTTTTGAATGTGAGCACAGATAAGAGTCAGCTCTGTTGAGATCTTCCTCCTCTACAAGCCTGTTTTTGTGCTCTTTTCTCAGTACTCATCCCAACTCCCGCTGTTTTATCTTTTTGAAGACACCCCATTTTCCTTTAATAATAAAATCCAATTTTACATCCGCTGGGTCATATTATCCTCATACTGGACACACCTCAAACCATACCTCTCTATATATGTTTTGAGATTTTGTTGTCCATTCAAAAATAATGTGTGCTGTCTGTTCAGAACATAGTATTGAAAAATGACATACCTCTGAGGTTCATCTTCTTAGACATGAGCACCAAGAAAAAAAGACTTCCTCATGCCTGTTTTATGAATTGTAGTGGATATAGAGTAATTTCTTTGGTCATAACAAATAGAACACAATAAGTGATAGAATAAGAAAGTTGCCATTAAAATATTCTGCTACAAATTATCTCTTTTTTGCCATGACTAATGCTTGAAATTCCAATATTAGTAATTTATTATTTTATATTGAAATTGTCTTTCTTGTGAATTTTTAGATGTAATTATTCTAAATGGAATTTTTAAAATATGAATTACCTGGCCTTATTGTGACCCTTTAAAATAAGTCATGCAAGAGCAGAAAACTGAGACCCTTACAAATGGGTAGAGAGGAGGAATGACATTTACATTGTAGGGAAAATTAGACATGAGGTATAGATAGCAAAGACCAAACCTCATTGTTAAAATATTACTTTTGTTTGCCCTAGTTAAAAGTATCATCATGTACTGTCTGTTATTAGCCTTTATTAATGGTTACAGTAAACAGAGACATGATGTCTTCTTCCTATGACAGAGGATACAAGCAAAAAACAAATTTTTAGATTCCTAATATATAAAACATTTTATACAACAATACAGATAATTAAAAGTTTCTATTTTAGTTAGTTATGGTTTTTTGTGTAAATCAAGAGAATCTAATTATTTAGCATTTAACATATTTGACCTTCCGTATTGGGGATCTAAATAATCTTGGCTAGGACAAGTGAAAGCCTAAATACAGAAACAGAGCAAAAAAGGGCAAATGTTTCTTTCTACTAGTCAAAACAACTCAAAGTCATACCTTTACGAAGTTGAGCTGTCAATAGAAATGGCACCTTCATTTAGAGAAAGATTTCTCTGACTCATGTTTGAAGGGTTGACTGATGTAAACACAGTGTGCGTCCACCATGAGCAGGAATATTTGCATTATCCTAATATTTGGAAAAAGAGAACCCCAGGACCCTTTGGATGATGAATATCTCAAAGATAGGTTTGACATCCTGGAAGAACAATTTTTTTTCCTCTTTGGGATCTTGTTATCCTCTTCCAGTCTGGTTTGGTTATCTGACTTTTCACATATCGGAGTCCAATTATTTAGATCCTGCTTCTAAAATACGTGCAACCCTGATGTTCACTTTTAATAGCATATTTTACTATGGTCTTATTGTGTAAACGTTCACCTTCTTTATATCTCTTGCCACCTGTAGCTAAGAATAGTGCATTCTTTTGCGGTATAAAGTATAATTCTTTCCGTTAGCAAGTCTTCATAGTGCAATCCGTACAGCCAATTCTAGGGAAACCAACCCTAGAATAAGATTTAGGAGACCTAAATTCTAGCTCTAGGTCACTCTCTGAGTGCCAAAGTTCTTTGAATAAACTGTTAATCAACTTACATTTCCATTTTTCTGTTATTAAAAGGAAAATCATAATTTTGTGTAGATGAAACCCTTAGGGAAATAAATTGAAACAGGAAGCTTTAAAGCAATTGGCAATTTATCTTACTTGGAAATGTACTATACTAATATTCCTACCACCTGCTAATCAATATCAATACCTAAATAAAAATTTTATACTTCTGGGATTCTCTAAGTATTATTCTCTCTCTAGGTTAGTACTAAATATCAAAATTGAGAAGTCTGTTGAAAATAAAATGTACCCAAGTCTCAAGCTTCTGCAAAGCAGTTATTTTACATTTGCTATAATACTTAGGATGAGAGGATTTTTACCAGCCATGTCCCATACTCCTAATCCAAAGTCCCTAAGAAGTCAAATTATTTCTATTTCATTCCCTTCTAAACCTACAATCCCACATCCTGTGGAAGCCTCTCTAACATTAATCAGTGCCTGACAAAACAGACATGCCTACTTCAGTCCAGGTTTAAGTTGGCTTTTAGCCTTCCTCCAACAAAGTGATAGACCATGTAGATTAGATATCCCAAATTCCTTGGGCTCCTGAACTCATAAATCACTGAGGATTAATTGTGATTATGAGAAACACTGCTGGGAGGAAGTTGACAAGAGCTCTGAAAACAGCTAGAACACAGGCCTAACAAAGCTTGGCAGCAGCTCCATTGACAATGTAGAGTGGACGGATTCCCCTTAGGAGTCTTAGAATGTTAATTGTTGTCACCACTCCCATTTCTCAAGGGCAGGGCCTCTCTTCTGCCCTTCTTCTCCCTGTGGAAAGCTGTTTTCCTCCATTCCTCTCTCCTCTAACATCTTCACTGAAGTCTTAGGTCATTCCAAAAAGTCAGAGAAGCTAGTACATTTCTTATGGTACAATTTAAAGTCCAATTATAGTAGCATCACATAGACATATTGAAAACTGCAAATCTGCATAATGTTGGTAAAAGGAGTATTACTGGCTATTGCAAAAATAAAATAAAAAAGAATCAAGATCATCCAAAATCCTTAATTTTGTGAAAGTATGAAATTTCTACACCTCTTCAAATTTTATTGTCAATTAAACTTTGTATTTTCAGATCATTGTGGATTCATGCATTATTTTACGAAATAATACAGAAGTATCCCTTGTGCCCTTTATCCAATTTTCATCAATGGTAACATCTTGCAAAGCTATACTAAAATATCATAACCAAGATATTGGCATTGATATATTAAAGATACAGAACATTTCCATCACCACAAGAAAACCTAATGCTGATATTCTTTCAGAGCCACACCCAACCCAATTCTGTCCTGCCCCATCCTCTCCATAACCTCTGGTAGTCACTATCAGTTCTCCATATCTATAATTTTGGCATTTTAAGAATGATCTATAAATGAAATCATGCAGTATATCCCTTTTGGGGTTGGCTTTTTTCACTCAGCATAATTTCATGAAGATTCATTTAGGTTTTCATGTATGTCAATACTACATTTCTTTTTATTGCTAAGAAATACTCTGTTGTACATACCTTTTGTTTAACCATACTCATGTTGAAGGACATCTGGATTATTTCTGGTTTCAGGCTATAATTAATAAAGCTGCCACAAATGTTCATGTACAGCTTTTTGTGTGAACATTGTGTTCATTTCATTGGGATAAATGCTCAGGGATACAACTGCTGGTAGTTGCTTGATTAGGTCTTGGGGTTTTTTGTTTGTTGTTTCAGGAAAGTGCCAAGCCATTTTCCAGAGTGGTTGCATTGTTTTACATTTCTCCCAGAAATGGATGAATGATCCAGTTTTTCTTCATCCTCATCAACATTTGGAATTGTCAGCCATTTTTACTCTAGTCTTTCTGATGGTTTTTCTTTTCATTTTCCTAACAGTTAATAATGTTGAAAATCATATGTGCTTATTTGCCTTCTGTATATCTTACTCAGTAAAATATCTCTTTGTGTCTTTTGTCCAAGTTCTATCTGGATTGTTTGCTTTTCTACTGTTGAATATTGGGAGTTTTTATGTACTCTAGAAAGTAGTACTTTGTTGGACATGGAGTTTGCAAATATATTCTCCCAGCCTATAATTTAATTTTTTGTCTTCTTAATAGAGTCTTTCTCAGAGAAGAAGTTTTTAATCTTGGTGAAGTATAATTTAATTTTTTGTCTTCTTAATAGAGTCTTTCTCAGAGAAGAGGTTTTTAATCTTGGTGAAGTCCAATTTATCATTTTTCATTTTATGGATCTTGCATTTTGTCTCAAGTCTAAGAATTCTGCCTATTCTACATGTCAAAGTGTTTCTCCTATTTTTTTTGAAAAAAAATGTATAGTTTTGCATTTTACATTTAAGTATATGACCCATTTGGGTTAACTTTTTTATAAGTTGTAAGGTCAATGGAGTTGCTTTTATTTATTTATCTAGTTATTTTTGGCCTATGGATGGCCAATTTCTCCAGCATCATTTGTCAAAAAGGCTATATTTCCTCCACTGAATTGCTTTTGCACCTTTGTCAAAAGTCGGTAGATTGTTTTTGTGTGGGTTTATTCCTGCTTTTCTATAGTGTTCCAGTTATCTATGTGTCTATTCCTTTGCCATTCCAATGTTGACTTGATCACTGTAAATCTATAATAAATATTAAAATTGCATAGACTAATTCCTCCCACTTTATTTTTCTTTTGCAAAGTTGTTATTAGCTCTTCTACATTCTTTGCTATTTTATATAAATTGTAAAATACTCTTGTCTATATTTATGAAAAGAAATCTTGCTGAAACTTTGTTTTTTCTTTTTTTATTTTGTTTTGTTATTTTTTTGTTCTTACTGAAACTTTGATATGTTAAACGTATATATTGATTTGTGGAGAACTAAAAGTTTTACTATTTTGAGTTTTCTAATTTGTGAATATAGTATGTCTTTCTAGTTACTTAAATCCTTACTAAAACTTTATTTCATTAAGAATATGTAGTTTTCTACATGTTTCTGTAATTCCTGTACATAATTTGTTAGATTTCTACCTAATTATTTTGTTTTTGAGCTCTTATAAAGGGTACTATACTTTGAATTCCAGTGTCAGCTTATTTACTACTAGCATGTAGAAATACAAGATTTTTGTATATTTATCTTGTATCCTCTAACTTTGCTTAACCCACTTATTAATTCTAGAAACTTTTTAGAGATTTCTTAGGATTTTCTGTGTACACAATTATGTTTCCATCTGCAAATACAGACTGTTTTATTTCATATTTTCAAATCTATATGTTTTTATTTTCTTTCTTACTTTATTACATGGATAGAATGTTTAGCACTATGTTGAACTGAGAGAAGATATCATCATCTTGTTCCTGATCTTGGGAAAGAGCACTCATTTACCACTGAGTAGAGCATTAGCTGTAGACTTTTTGTTGACACGTTCATCAAGCTAAGAAGTTCCCTCCTATTCCCATTATTCTGAGGGATTTTTAATCAGAAATATGTATTGAACTTTGTCGAATGCTTTTTCTGCAAGAATTGATATAATCATGTAATTTTTCTTTTCTAGACTGTTAATATGGTGAATTACATTGATTTATTTTCAAACATTGAATAAGTCTTACATTGCTGAAATAAATCTTGCCTTGATCATGCTGTATAACTTTTTATGCATTTATTAATTCTATTTGCAAGTATTTTGTTAAGAATTTTTGCATCTATATTCTAGAAAGATATTGGTTTGCAGAGTAATACTAGCTTCATAAATAAAATTGGAAGTGTTCCTCTACTATTTCTGGTAAACACTAGGTAGAATTAATGTTACTTCTTCTTTAAACATTGGTAGAAATTTCCACTAAGATCATATGAGCCTGTGGAGTTCTTCAGGAAGTTGTTATTGTTTTTTAATTACTACATCATCTGAAATGAGATGAGATCAGGCATATTTTGGGAAGTAAAGACACTATAAAGCAACTACGCAATCAAGTCTACAAAACAACTAGCTAACAATATGATGACAGGATCAAAATCTCACATAGCAATGTTAACTTTGAAAGTAAGCCATCTAAACATTCCACTTAAAGGCATGGTGTAGTAAACTGGATAAAAAGACAAGACCCAACTATCTGTTGTCTTTAAGAGACCCATCTCACATGTAACAACACGGACAAGCTCAAAGTAAAAGGATGGGGAAAGATCTATCTCGCAATCAGAAAACAGAAAAGAACAGGGATCACTAGTCTTATAACAGATAAAACAGATTTTAAATAAACTATAGTCAAAATGGACAAAGAATGACATTATATAATGATAATGGATTCAATACAACAAGAAGACAACTATTATATAGAAATATATACATCTATTATATATTCTAAATCTATCTATACATATGCATATATAGATGCACCCAACATTGGAAACACCCACCTTCATAAACGATTTTCTCTAGACTGATTAGAAGAGTTATGAACACAAAGAGGGAAACAACAGACACTGGGGTCTACTTGAGGGTAGGAGGAGGGAGAGGAGCAGAAAAGATAATTATTGGGTACTAGGCTTAATAGCTGAGTGATGAAATAATATATACAACAAACCCTCATGACATATGATTACCTAGCTAACAAATCTTCATATGTACCCTCAAACCTAAAATAAAGTTACAAAAGAAAGACTTAGACAGCCACACAATAATAGACTTCAACATCTGATTGACAGCATTAGACAGATCATCAAGGCAGAAAATTAACAAAGAAATTCTGGACGTAAACTCAACACTAGACCAAATGGACCTAACAGACATCTACCAAATATTCCACTCAACAACCACATTCTTCTCGTCTGCACATAGAATATACTCTAATATCAACAACAAGTTTGGCTGTAAAGCAAGTCTCTATAAATTAAAAAAAAAATGGAAATCATACTAAGCACACTCTCAGACCACAGGGCAATAAAAACAGAAATTACCACCTAGAAGATATCTCAAAACCACACATTCCTTGGAAATTAAACAACTTGCTTCTGAGGGACTTTCGGATAAGCATCAAAATTAAAGATAAAACAAAAAAATTCTTTGAAATAAATGAAAATAGAGACACAAGATAGTAAAATCAGAGCAGAATTGAATGAAATCGAGACACCAAAATCCATACAAAGATTGATAAAACCAAAAGTTTGTCCTTTGAGAGAATGATATTGATAAACCACTAGCTAGATTAACAAAGAAAAAAACAGAGATCCAAATAAACACAACTAGAAGTAACAAAGATGACATTATAACTAATCCCACAGAAATACAAAAGATTATCAGAGACTGTAATGAACACCTCTAAGCACACAAATTAGAAAATCTAGAGAAAATAGATGCATCCCTGCAAACACCCAATCTCTCAGGATTGAACCAGAAGAAATTGAAAACCTGAACAGACCAATAATGAGTTCAGAAATCAGTAATAAAATATCTACCAACAACAACAAAAGAAGCCCTGGACCAGATGGATTCACAACCATAATCTAACAGATGTACACAGAAGAACTGATACCAATCTTATTGAAATTATTTCAAACCATTGAGGAAGAACAACTTCTCCCTAACTCATTCTATGAAGCCAGCATTATCCTGATACCAAAATCTGGTAGAGACACAATGAAAAGAAAAAACTTCAGGCCAATATCCCTGATGAACATAGATATAAACATCCTCAAGAAAATACTAGCAAATTGAATCCAGCAGCCTATCAAAAAGTTAATTCACCATGATCAAGTAGGCTTTATTCCTGGTATGCAAGATTGGTTCATCATATTCAAATCAATAAATGTAATTCACCATATAAACAGAATAAAAACAAAAATCATATGAGCATCTCAATAGATGCAGAAAAAGCCTTCAATAAAATTAAACATCGCTTCATGATAAAAACTTGCAACAAACTAAGCATCAAAAGAACATACCTGAAAATAATAAGAGCCATCTATGGCAAACCAGCTCCCAACGTTATACTAAATGGGCAAACGCTGGAAGCAATGCCCTTGGTAACTGGAACAAGAAAGGATGCCCACTGTCACCACTCCTATTGAATATACTATTGGAAGTCTTAGCCAGAGCAATTAGGCAAGAGAAAGAAATAGAAAGCATCTAAATAGGAAAAAAGAAGTCAAACTGTCTTTCTTCACTGACAATATGATTCTATACCTAGGAAACCCTAAAGACACCACCAAAAGGCTCTTGGAACTGATAAACAACTTTAGCAAAGTTTCAGGATACATAATAAATGTAAAAAAAATCAATTGCATTTCTATACACCAATGATGTTCTAGCTGAGAGCCAAATCAAGAATGCAATCCCATTTACAATAGCCACAAAAAGAATAAAATACCTAGGAATAGAGCTAACTTAGGAGGTGAAAGACCTTTACAAGGAGAACTACAAAACATTGTTGAAAAAAATCAGAGACAACACAAATAAATACAGAAACATCCCATGCTCATGGATTGGAAGAAAAAGTATCATTAATATGACCATACTGCCCAAAGCAACTTACAGATTCAATGCTATTACTATCAAATTGCCAAATCATTTCACAGAATTAAAAAAAAAACTATTCTAAATTTATATGGAACCAAAAAAGAGCCCAAAGAGCCAAAACAATCCTAAGCAAAAAGAACAAACCAGAGGTATCACATTACCTGACTCCAAACTATACTATGAGGCTATAGTAACCAAAAAAGCATGGTACTGGTACAAAAACAAACACGTAGAAGAAGGGAACAGAATAGAGAACCCAAAAATAGAGCCACACACCTATAAATATCTGATCTTCAACAGAGTCAACAAAAATAAGCAATTTGGAAAATACTCCTTTCTTCAATAAATGGTGCTAGGATAACTGGCTATCCATATGCAGAAGAATGAAACTGGATCCCTACCCATCCCCATAAGCAAAAATTAACTCAAAATGGATTAAAGACTTAATGTAAGACCTCAAACCATAAAAATCCTGGAAGAAAACTTAGGAAATACCCTTCTCAATATCGACCTTGGCAAAGAATTTATGATTAAGTCATCAAAAGCAATTGCAACAAAAACAAAAATTGACAAGTGGGACCTAATTAAACTAAAGAGCTTCTGCACAGCAAAAGAAACTATTAACAGAGTAAACGGACAACACACAGAATGGGAGAAAATATTCACAAACTATGCATCCAACAGAGGTCTAATATACTGAACAACCTATAAGGAACTTAAATAAACCAACAAGAAAAAGTAAATAATCGCATTAAAAAGTGGACAAAGAACGTAACGGATACTTCTCAAAAGAAGACATATAAGCAACTCACAGACATATAAAAAATACTCATCATCACTAATGATCAGAGAAATGCAAATCAAGACCACCATGAGATACCATATCATACAAGTCAGAATGGCTTTTGTTAAAAAGTCCAAAAATCACAGATGTTGTTGAGGCTGTTGAGAAAAGGGGTCACTTACACACTGTTGGAAAGCAAATTAGTCCAGTCATTGGGGAGGGCAGTTTGGAGATTTCTCAAACAACTAAGAGTTGCACTACCATTCTACCTAGCAATCCCATTACTGGGTATACACTCAAAGGAAAATAAATTGTTCTACCAAAAAGATACCTGCACTAATATGTTCATCACAGCACTATCCACAGTAGCAAAGACATGGAGTCTATCCAGGTGCCCATGAGCAGTGGACTGAATAAAGAAAATGTGGTGTATGGAATACTATGCAGCCATAAAAAGAACAAAATCACGTACTCTGCAGCAATATGGATGTAGCTGGAGGCCACTATCCTAATTGAACTAACACAGAAATAGAAAACTAAATACCACATGTTCTCACTTATAAGTGGGAGATAAACATTGGGTACACATAGACACAGACACAAAAATGGGAACAATAGATGCTGAAGGTTCCAAAACATGACAGGAAAGGAGGGGGGCAAGTGTTAAAAACTACCTACCAGGTATTACTTTTACTACTTAGTTGACAGAATCATTAGAAGCCCAAACCTTAGCATCAATATACCCATGAAACAAACCTGCACATGTATCCCTAATTTCAACATTTTTAAAATCCAGTAATAAAATAATAATAAACAAATCTAAAAACCAATTTTCAAAATCTTGGCTCTATCCCCTACTAACAATTTCGCATTAAGGAAGTTTCTTAACCTATTTGTGCCTCAGGAATAAAAGTGCCTTCCCCAAAGGGCGGCACTCAGTGCTAAATGAGTTAACACGTCGGAAGTGCTTCCAAGCACTCCTAGTAAGAACTGAAAACTCAAAATTTTCCCTATATTGTTGAGAATTTTTTTAAAGTAATTAGTCTAATGCTTAAGGGTCCACAAATTTCATAAGGTAATCCATTATCCAAGTATAATAACTTATTGAAGAATGAATATGACTCCAACTACAAAACAATATTTTGTGAGGTTGCTTTGTTGTATATGCTCTCGCTGAGTGGTTCTCGATTGGGGCAAATGCCCAGCTGTGGACATTTGGCGGTGTCTGGAGAAATTTCCGGTTGTCTAATGAATAGAGGCCAGGGATGCTGCTAAACCCTCTACATTGCACAGGACAGTCCCCCACAACACAGTACTGTATGACTCAAAATGCCAATAGTGCCAGGGTTGAGAAACTGCTCTCATCTGTGACCAGCATATGGTTCTGTTGCCTCCAGAGCCAGAAGAGTAGTCAGATCCAGGTTCCAAAGGGTATATTTTTCACTGTTAACACCTGTTGTATCAAAAATTACTCAAATGCATCATTTTTAAAATTAGGAATATACTAAAATCCTTTGTTCGCCTTTATACAATGCAGAAAATAGAAAGACAAATCAAGATATTTTTGATTAACCAAAAAACGACTATTTATACATGTTCTAAAATTACACATATTAAGTAATGTTATCCATAGCGACCAATTATCATAAAGGCCTATGGAGATTTAAAGAGAAGTCAGTCTTTGAAAGCCAAATGTCCATTGCTTCTCAGCCTTTTGGCTAAGATCAAGTGAAAGAAAATGTCCCCAGAGGGCTTGTTTTACAGGTAACCTTCAAAGATGTCTTCATGCCTATTGGAAAATCCGATTTTT
This sequence comes from Homo sapiens, assembly GCF_000001405.40. Lineage (NCBI taxonomy): Eukaryota > Metazoa > Chordata > Mammalia > Primates > Hominidae > Homo > Homo sapiens. The sequence continues at coordinate 143,916,520 of NC_000007.14, read as the reverse complement.
ATTCTCAAATATTTTCTGGTGCTCGATTTTAAAAAACAAATTTCTTCTTAACGGCTTTCTTGGTTAGAATTTCATCTTATTTTGCCCTTGTATCAATAGCTCCTTCCTTCCTCCTATATGTCCAAATATCTTTCATAAGCAACTACTAAGTAGGAGTGCCTGTAGTCTCAAGCTGGCCCACAGGAATTTAATTTATTAGCACTGGCTGGTAAAATGCTATCCTAAAAACTTAAGGCTGGGCTGGGCGCCATGGCTCATGCCTGTAATCCCAGCACTTTGAAAGGCCGAGGCGAATGGATCACGAGGTCAAGAGTTGAAGACCAGCCTGGCCAAGATGGTGAAATCCCGTGTCTACTAAAAATACCAAAAAATCAGCCAGGTGTGGTGGTGGCTGCCTGTAATCCCAGCTACTCGGGAGGCTGAGGCAGGAGAATTGCTTGAACCTGGGAGGCAGAGGTTGCAGTGTGCCGAGATTGTGCCACTGCGCTCCAGCCTAGGTGACAGAGCAAGACTCCATCTCAAAAATTAAAAAGAATTAAAAAAAAAACAAGGCTATTAAATAAAAAAGAGAAAAATAGAAGTCTAATAGATTGACTGTGAGGTACATGATATTCAGTTTCCACATACTTAATGCCCACTCTAACATTCCTTCTTCAGAATGAAGATTCGGATAACCCCTTGGGTGAATAATCCAAACAAGCTAAGGAGCTGGGTGAGGGCAAAGGGATTATGGAATGGGTGGAGCAGAAAAGTCACAAACACTGTGACCACGTGGCCAGTCACAGAAATGAGGATATAGCGTCTTCACAAATTTTTCTCCTTGATGTGTCACATGTATATTGGTATGTTTTATTAATTCTTCATTCATCTCCTGTCCCTTACTATTTTATTTGGGTTTGTTCATAGCAGCACATTTTTCAGATTGGTCCACAGGTTATAGAATATCAAGGCAGGATTTTGACATTCCAGAGGAGGCCTGGTATTTGTTGAAAACATCCAGTCTCGGAGATGGGTGAAACTCTGACATCATCTGAGAAGACGGCTAGTGTGTTCCAACTGTGCACAGTGTCAGATGAGAACGTTTTAAGTGGGAGGCATTGTTAACATGAGAAGAAAGAAGTGTATGTATGTTGGAGGAGCCAAAGATGTGAAATGTAAACATCTGTCATGATGTTGTTTTTCTGTCCAGCGTCTTCTTCCTTTGATGCTTGGGGTATCCTCTCTTAGGAGAGGCTAAAATATTCTCAGCATCTTCTGCAGTAGGGGCACAGGTTTGTGACCCGGTCTCTATTACTCAGGTGTTTTTGTGCCAGTCAAGGACTAGTGATACAAAAAGGGAGGAACTGCCCAGAATTAAATGTGGTGAGACTGACACTAGAGGCAGTAGCAAGTCCAGTTTCCTGAATAACTAGTGTTAACAATTCTAGGATTATCCGGTGTACCATGGGTATCAGCAGCACACACTACCCTGTCTGTGCCTCCCCCCCAAAAAAACTGCATCAATGCCTTCATAGAATCACTTCTGTAGAATGATTTTTTAAATGTTTTTCTTGACGGTAGTCAACTCCAAGCATTATTCTCAGAGATTACGTGAGCTATTAATACTCCTTAATAAATGTGTTTTCTGCTAAAACTAGCCAAAGTTTTCATCTGTTGCTTGCAACTATAAATACTGGATGATGATGATAATGATGATGATGATATATGGAAACTCGGTAAAGGCCACCGCCACAACACTCGGCTAATTTTTGAATTTCTGGTGGAGACGGGGTTTCATCATGATCTTTTAAAAACACCACACTTTCTTAATTACTGTAGCCTTATAGTAAGGCTTAGATGCAAATAGTGCAAATCCTCTGAATTTGTAATTCTTTTTCAAGAGAGTTTTGGCTGTTATACACCATTATAAAATACTTGAGACCAGAAAATAACTACCTTCAAGGGTTAAAAGGAACAAAACCCAGCGCTACAATGGGCCAGTACCAATGCTTATTCCCATCAATCAGACCAGAAAAAAAAAAAAAACCCTGATAATTTATAACCCTTTGCATAGAGTACTTAGAGCTTCTTCCCTCAGCAGTGGTGAATAATTAACCCTAGGGTAAATGCTGCTCTGGTCCTACCTAACAAATTCGAAAAGCAAGACCCAAAAGGATCAAACTAATTCCAGGTAATTTAACTGAATGCCAGAACAAAGTTCATGAATATTTAGAGGAATACAAAAATATCCAGCACGCAAAATGACAAAAACTCACAATGACTATCAACCATGTATACAAAGGAGCAGGAAAATATGACCAATTTTAAGAAGGAAACTATCAGTCAAGAAAGACCCACTTGGTAGGCTGAAGTGAGAGGGTTGTTTGAGCCCAGGAGTTTGAGGATGTAGTGTGGTATGATCTCACCTGTGAAGTAGCCACAGCACTCCAGCCTGAGCAACATAGTGAGATTCCACCTCTAAAAAAAAATTAAGATTAAAAGAAGACCCAAATCTAGCACAGGCATTTGAACTAGCACTCAAAAACATCAAAGCAATTATTATAACTGCAATCATATGTTTAAAAGATTAAAGTCATGGAAAATATTTTTAAAGAACCAAAACTAACTTCTAGACATGAAAAATACGGTTCCTAAGAGAAAAACACAACTGGATGGAATTAACAGCAGGATTATGCACTGTAAAAAAAAAATTAGTTAAGTTGGTGACACAGCAATAGGAACTATTCAAAATGAAATACAAAGAGAAAAAAGAGCAAAAATCTAACTGAGCATATATAAAATATGAGAAACTTAATCTACCTAGTTTACATGTAATTGGAAAAATATTTGGAGAAAGAATTCCCCCTCAATTACCAAATTGGACGAAAACTATAAATCCAAAGTTCAAAGAACCTTGGTGATCCCCAAACACACACACACACACACACACATAAAACTATACTAAGACATATAATAAATTGCTTAAAATGAGTAATAAAGAGAAAACCTTAAAAATCGTCAGAGGGAAAAAATATACATACAAAACTACAAAAATAATGATGAAAGCTGACTTATCATAAACAACGCAAGCCAAAGATAGAGGAGCCACATCTTTTAAGTCAGAGATGAGTAGAAGAGAGGGATTGTAAATGAGCATAGGGAAAGTCTTGGAGATCATCTCCAAATGTTCATTTTCTTGATTGTAGTAATGTTTCCACTGGCATATACAGATATCAAAACTTATCAAGTTTTACACTGTTAATATGTGCTGTTTATTGTAGGTCAGTTACACCTAAATAAAGCTATTAAAAAAATAAATGCATGAAAACAAGGTCAACTTCACTGATAATGAAATGAGTATGAATCAAATCAACAATGATATTTCTTTGTCTCTTTCATGTGCTTGAATATATTATCTCGATCTTAGTAATTAATGATCTTGATAGTTTAGTGAGAAATGACACTCAATGCATTTTTAATAGAAACAACACTTTGGAAAACAACTTGGAAGTAAGCCTCAGAAGCTTTGAGCCATTAGTTCCACTTCTAGTCATATAGCAAGAAAATCTCAAACATAAGAAATATTTAATCCGGAATGATTTTTCAAGGCAATATTATATGTAAGAGTCCAAAAACTGAACTCAAGGCTACTACTGTGAAAATAAACAACACGATGGCTTTGCACACAGAAGTTTCTTTCTTCTTTACACAAAAATGCAAGCCAAGGGGCATTCTTTCATCCACTGATCAGAGATCCATACTTGCTCCATCGTGAAATTCTGCTATCTCAATATATGGCTTTTACAGGCACTGTGGCAGGGGAAGAGAATATGACAAACTCATACCTTAATTGCTTCTGACCGGAAGCGAACCACGTAATTTTACTCACAGCCCATTGGCAAGCACTAATTCCATGTGCCCTATCCTGAATAAATGAAAGGCTGGTAACTGTGGAACATACAAAACAGCACTACAGGCGCTACTATAATCCACAAGACAGGAATTGCTTTGTAAAACATTGCCTAGCATAGCTCATGTCTTGGATATCCACCAAAAAATATTACATAGAAATTTAAATAACATTTTAAAAGAGCTGTTAATAACATGAAAGAAAGCTTATGCCAGGATGTTTTAAAAAACACATTATAAACTTGCGTATGTTACTTATTCATCTTGCAGCCTTGTGATTTCAGATTAAATCATTTAATCTTTATACACCTTATTTTGTTCATAAGCAAAAGGCAGAAAATATACCTCCCTCATCAGATTTCTGCGAAGAAAAACAAAACAGCTATGCATGTTGAATTCTTAGCCTAGTGCCTAAATCTATAAGCTTGTCAAGAAATAATACCAATTTCAAAAATGTATTTTTATCTATAGAACTCATCATCTAATACCTATTATATTATATGTTCAGTTTTTGGAATTGCTTATTTTTTGTCTCTTCTCAATAGAGCAGAGACTTTTACTTGCTTAGTGATGCATTCCTAGTATCCAGAACAGTGCTTGGTACATAGAAAGTGTGCAAAAATTAGATGTCGTTAGGGGTCTATGTGGCTATAGAGAGGTAGCGTAAGGGAGCTTTGTGGTAATGGAATAGTTCTGTATCTAGATTGTGATGGGTATACAAATCTAAACACATGATAAAGTCACATATAACTATATACGCATACATACAGATGAATGCATATAAAAGTGGTAAAATCTGAATAAGCTCTGTAGATTATTCGGATAATCTATTTTTTGATTGTGATATTGTACTATAATTATGCAAGATGTTACCATGACAGAAAACAAAGTAAAGGGTGCACAGGAATTCCCTGTACCTTTTTCTGCAACTTCTTACAAATCTATCATTATTTCAAAATGAAAATGTTTTTTAAGTTGTTGCACAAATAAACACAATTTGCAGCTGTGTTTTAAAAATAGAAATTTGAAAAGCAAGACGTAAATATTTAATACTGTTAAGACTGTCTTTCTTTGGACCTTGCAATGATGGGATATTTATTTTTATCTTTCTGTCTTTCTGTTAAAATTCTTAATGGAAAAAAATTAACATTAGGCCTTAATTTTTGGTTTGTTCCTTTATTTCTTCTTTAGCTATTCATTTAGTCTCCTGCCACAGAAAGAGGCCTTCAAATAATGTTTGGAATTTAAAGGCATCAACCCTACCTCAACCTCGGCCCCTAATCCAAGCCCCTAATTTGCACTAAGGTGAGAGAAGGTCCATGGAGCACAGTGAATCACATGGATTGTCAGGGAAGCTGTTTGGAGGTTTTCTGATACTCACAGTCTCTCTCAAAGTCTTTCTAATCCACTTGCCTGCCTTCTGTCACTGCAATAGTCTACTCTTCTTGCTTAGATTTGAAAACTCATTGAAGGAACAGATTTAGTTTATGCTTTTTAGCTACTTTGCCTAAAGGAAATATTTTCTCCTTGCCCCACCCACCTGAAACAGAGAGAGATGCTCTGTGGGCAAGTAGTTGCAAAGCCCAAGCCCACGACTAATTCTTTCCATTCCTAGAAGGCAGTGCAGCTTTTACAATCATACTTATTTAGTTAATTTAATACAAAAGAACCTCCTTTCTTCTCCTCTATGCCACTTTACCAGATAGCCACTTGGTGATAATTTTCAGAAATCTGTTGGAACTAGTAATCGCCCATGGTGCAGAATGTCTCTGACAGTACTTCAATGAGAAGGCTGTATCAGAACCAATGCCTAAGAAAGAACTTCATTAATAATAATAATACAGCACATTTTAACAAGAGTACACTATTTTTGAATGGTTTTGTAATTTCCACACAGCTCTACAAATTTCCTAAGCACAGAAGTCCCATAAGCTGTTTCTATAAATAAACCTCACTGAATCATGGGGAAGCTCCACAGCAAAGCTCCGGCCCCCTCTAACCTCCACTCAAGCCCAGAAAGAAAGATGGAGATGTCTATGAACAATAGTTCTCCTTTTCACACTCTTTTCCTACTTTTTTAATCTCCAGGCTGTTTGTCTGTCTCCTCACCATTTCTCTGAAGGTAAATCTCACACTAAGCACATCTGAACTACAACATTAGTAGCAAAGAGGGTGTCGTTACCCCTAAGAGTGTCTGAAATATAACACATTTAACTTAAAAGGCTGCAAGGACAAGGGGACAGATGGACAGTTCCTTGGAAAGCAGTCCCAAAGGATGTGTGTGGTGGGATCTTTGGAAATGTGTGAAACACAGGAAGGTATGTCTATGGGTTAGAGGTTCTGTGAGCCCAAAGGGGACAAAAGTGTCCTTGATGTTTATGCTTCTGTTTGTCTCATCTCAGAATTTTACAGTCCTGACCTATCATTTTTTATTGTGCAGTGTTGAAAGAGATTCCTCTCTCCTCATTTCCATGGCATGAAAGTTAAGGTCCCAAGAAGAAAAAGGATTGCTCAGCATTACACAAGAGTTAATAACAGAGCACAGGCAGCTTTCCCAAAGTTCTCTCTCTTTCATCTTGCTCTTCTTACTGCATGACCCTTAGAGCTGAGCTTATTCACCCGCTGGCTCCCTATGTCGGGAGACAGGAGGCAGGGACACCCCACCCACTCTCACTCTTGGCACACAGACTTAGGTGCAGGCATGATTCCTGATGGTGGAGGAGGACACTGCTCTCCCTCTTCAGTATAATTTTCCCACTTCACCCCGTCCTGACCTTCCCTTCAACTTCAACTTCTTCTCATTTGAAAATCAAAATTGTACTTTACATTTAATTTTCCAACAACCTAATATTTAGACAAATAATTTGAGGTACATATATATATAGATGTGTGAACTTGATTTGTATATACTTGATTTTGTATATATATGTAAATACACATATCTATATACTTAAGTTTGTTTCTATACAGAATAAAAGAAATTCTTTGGTCAGTCTTCCACACAAGAGATTGCAATGACCTGAAAAAATAAACTTTCTGCACATTAATGTGTATATTAAAAGTAAGATGTTGGAAACCAGTGGTATGATGTTCCTATGTGTATATTAGGAACAAGTGATACTGCATATCAAAAAAAAAGAGAGATGTTCTAAATAATTAAATAAAAAAGGCTTATGTGATACAAAACTGTACAAATAAAAATAATGCCAAATTAGTGGCCTTAATGACGCCATTGGTGCCACAGTTGGAAGGAGTGACTAGGTGGGGCTGTAAGGTAGAATACACTAAATTAACTATATTATACGAGAGCTTGGAAGATACACCTTTAATCAGGTAATGATCATGAACATCATTAGTAATTGGATACATTGAGATCATGTGACATCTGACAGAATGAAGAGCTCAGCTTCACAGAAGTGATGATCTTGTTAAAATGCATAACCTGAACCTAATCATAGGGAAACACCAGGAAAGTCCAAAACAAGGAAATATAAAATAATTGGCCTGTAGTCTTCAAAAGCATCAGTCATAAAAGTCAAAGAAAGACTGAGGAACTATTCCAAACTGAAGGTTAAAGAAACATAACAACCAACTGGAACACAACTCTAGACTAGATCCTATTGCTATTAGTGCCATTATTGAGATAACTGGAAAATTCAAATGGGGTCTGGAGATTAGAAAGTAGTGATGTACCAATGATAGCTTTTCTGATTGTGATGATTATATGATGCTTATAGAGGAGAACCTTCTTAATATTCAGGGGTGATTTGTGGCACTATTTTAGCAACTCGTTCTCACATGTTTCAGGTAATAAAATGTTCTCTGCACTTTAAACTCCAGTAGAGTTTGGACAATTTAAATGGTGCTGATTGCATCCTTATAATGCCCTTTTACATACTCCTTTGTCCACTATTTTTTAATGTGTTTCTTTAAAAAAGTAGTTCATTTTCTCCACATTTTAAAGTATGCTAAACTAGGGTGCTTTTTATAATCAGTGTCAAAACAACCGGCTGTTTTCCAAACAGAGGAGAACTCCAGGCTTGAACCAGAGTTGTTAAGACACTTTTAATATCCTGCTTTAAAATAGATTGGTTTTTTGTTTTTCCTTTAGGAGGACGTTAGGACATTTTTTCCTTTCTCCAAACCACCCTATTTGAATTTCCTAAATGGGATTGAGGTAGGGCGGGAGAAAGGGGTTGCAGGTTTAGGGTACAGAGGCTATATATTTCAGTGACCAGAAAAAAAAAGCTTATAAAGTTTTCCATTAGATAGTGTAAAAACTATGACGGCTTGGGAATTCTGTCAAAGAAAATTGGTGAAATCTTTCCAGGAATGAGTTGGCTAGCATAAATGTTTACTTCTGTTAGAAGGCAATGGCAGAAATTGCCAAATAAAGACGCCAGAAAAGTAGATTTCCTATCAATATGTCATAAAATTAATTTAAAGAAACTTTTAAAAACATAAAGAATTTTGTAGCATAAACCAACGTAGGAATGGGACACAACCTCATTCCATAAACTTCAAACAGTGAATATAATTTAATAGAAAATACAGGCAAGGCACAGTGGTTAACACCTGTAATCCCAGCACTTTGGGAGGCCAAGGCAGGTAGATCACAAGGTCAGGAGATCGAGACCATCCTGGCCAACGTGGTGAAACCTGTCTCTACTAAAAATACAAAAAAAATAGCTGGGCATGGTGGCACGCACCTGTAGTCCCAGCTACTTGGGAGGCTGAGGCAGGAGAATTGCTTGAACTCGGGAGGCGGAGGTTGCAGTAAGTCGAGATTGCACCACTGCATTCCAGCCTAGCCACACAGCAAGACTCCGTCTCAAAAAAGAAAAAAAAAAGAAAAAGAAAAAGAAAATACAATGGCATTTGCTGAGCATTTACTATGTGCTGAGCATTTACTAGGTGCTAGGCTTTCTTCACACTACATCTTACATAAGAATGTATATTTGAAGCCAGACTATTTGGTTGCAAATTCTGCCTCCATAAAAATAAGAGTCTGGTTCATCTTGGAATGATGCTTAAACACTATCACTCACTCATTCTGCCAAAGGGCCCACTCTGAGAAATTGTACAAAGGAAAGAAGTAAGTTTATAAAACACTAAGAATTCCAGCCGATATCACCCTATCTTCAAATAGTGGCCTGAGGTAATGAGTAGCCCCTGAAAACGTCAGAATATTATCCTTCAAGTGTAGAAATGTCTTCCTACCTCCACCAGTGTCTTCTCAGAAACTAAAAAATAACCCAGCATCATTCATAGTTTCCACCATTCATGGGTACTGTTCCTTAATGGGATATCCCCCAATCACGTGGAGAAAACCCCCACACAGAACACTTAACAATATTTCAAATGTTCATATTGTGGAGAACCACTTACCTGAGCAATTCCTTGGTTTCCTTATTGAATTCAAGTGAACCTTTTCTTCTGGAGCATTCCCAAAGGCCTGTCAGGTCACCTTGCGGGGCTGCATCCGCTTTTCCTACTCAGGTTGCAACACTGCAGGAATCCCTTTGACCCACCGCAGGGAGTACTACGCAGTGAAAGGGCATTGTTGGGAAACATTCAGGACCTGATTACAAGTCCCACTGCCTACAAAGGTCAGGCAGTAATGTGAAGGGGAAAAGTGGGCCTGGTACAGGATGTTGGGAAGGTAAAAGCGCAGTCTAGGCAGCAGAACAGTCTTCTAAAGGGGGACTTTAGATTGTCATGCTTTGAGAATGCAGGCCCTCTGATGCTCAGTTTCCAATTTATTCAAGAGAAGCTGGGAGTCTGCTCCTTATGTGAAAACTCCTGATTCCTTAAATGTTGGAAATTAGTGAAAAGATTTAGACAACTACCCAGTCCCCCTAAACACACCCTTGGGGACCAAGTCTAGCCTATGGGCTGCTGATCTGGAACCTCTATTATAGGTAAATTTGGAAAAAAATCTTTCTGCTTGCTCATGAGGCAAGTATCAGTCTCAGTTGAAAATTTCATGTATGTAAACAGAAATGATTTTGTTTTTATTCAGTCAACTCAATGCTGACGTTGAGTTCCTATCCCACTGATTTAACAGAAAATTCTGTCATAGTCATCGACCGGGTCCTGGGCATCCCCTCTGGGGTCTGGCCAGCTCCTTAGGGTACCACAGTAACACATGCATAGGTCAGTTAGCCCATCACTGCTCTTCTATGGTCCACAGGCCCTACCCCAGGTCTCTGCATTCTCTCCTCTTGGCTTTGGCGGTTTTCCAAGGCCCTCCCACCCTCACCTCACTGTCTAAGCAGCTTTGGTAATCTGTCCAGTGGCTCAGGCTTTCACTAAAGACTGACTCCTTCGGGATGCTTTGCAGAAGCAGCTACGTAATTTGGAGGCACGGTGCAAAATGAAAATGTGGGGCCTCTTGTTCAAAACGTATTAAGAATTCCAAGATGGAGACAACAGCGCATTAAACCAAGGGTGAGGCTCTCCTAAGTGTAGGGGTCCACGGGACTGCAGTGGTCACACATCCGTGAAGTGGCCCTGACGCTTTGCTTTCTGCATTGGAAAAGTACCTGAGGCAAGGAATTACACATCCTAGCTACCGGACTGAGAGATGGCAGGGAGGTTGGGAAATGGAGAAGATTACATTGCCATGTTTTCGAGAACCGGTTCAGGTTTAGATTCCTAAACTATAGACAAGACTACAAATTTCATAAAGCTGAGAGCAATTTGCTGGCCATGTTACCGAGGGCTGGTTTCAGAATTCAGCACCAACCCTCTCCATCCATCCTTTCCAGCTTCCAGTCAAGCCAGAAGGAAGGGAATCAGATGGATTCTGTCTCTGTCTCTGTCTCTCTCTCTCTCTTGCCAATGACCTCACTCTAATATAAATAAGACCTTCTTCCTGCACTGTGGGTTCCTTCACTCCCACTGCTGTGTCTCTCCTCCCTACAGCACCTTTCTCAAAAGCAAAACCCCTCCACTTCCCTTCTGAGCCTGTTTGACCTGTTTTCCCTTTCTGCCCCAATCTCACAGGTCTCCCTCAATTCTAAACCCTGCTTCCCTTTTACTGCTCATTTCCCTTGGGTCTTTCTGTCCATCTTCTCTCTTACATATTGTTCACCTTCATCCCCGAGATAATTTAATTCCTTACAGGTAGAGAGCATCGTGGGCAGGAACTCTTACCAACAGACCACTTGCCTTGTTGTCTAGTACTGCACTTACTAGCCACCAAAAAGACTGCTGCTCTTCAGAGCTATAAAACATGCGATGACGTGTAAGAAAGGTCATCTTAAACTCCTAGGGGCTGTCAGCACTCTGCTTGCAGTCTGGCAGGGCTCCCCTCTCTCCTCCTTTCCTCCCAGGATCACAGCCAGTCCACAAAGAGCAAGCCTGAGAAGGAGAGGAAAGGGGTGGGGGAGTGGTGGGTGAGGGGGTTGGAGGAGCTGAGGGGTGGCCAGTAGCGGGAGGAGGCAAGTGAAATGGAAACTCCTGGCCTTGGCTGGCCCAGAACTCGCACTGGCCCAGGTTCAGGAGTCTTGGTGTGCTTGCTGGTGAAGGGGTTTTCTCTGCTGCACTGGCTCCGTGTCCTTCCATACCCTAAAACATATACACACACAAACACACACACACACACACACACACACACACACACACACACACACACACAGAAACATGAGGCGCCGAGAGGACTAGCCAGTGATCTCAGCCTCAAGGACTTTGTACTGCAAGAGCGCTGGCATCTGAATTCCAAGGTCATGCTCCACCTCTACCTGCTGCAAACCCCTTCTGCTGCTTGCATTTCAGTGTTCCTTTTTGTATTAATATAAAGGAGGAGAGTGGATGAGATGTTGTAGCTCTGAAATTCTATGACCAATTGCACAGCAAAAACAACAGCAACTAAAAATGGTGGGTTTTGCTTGTGTGCCTGGAGAGGGAGTGGGGGTGGGCAAGCTTATGTCCTGTTGACTGTCAGCTTCTGAGGGGAGAAGGGATCTGGCAAGAGAGAAGTGCAGCTGTCTTGGCAGAGAGAATGAGAAATGAGAGAATGAGAAAGAGAGGTAACTGCAAGCAATCCTGGTCTTTCAGACACACTCAGTCTACAATCCCCAAACACCCACCTGCCCCCACAGTTTCCCCCCAGACACCCCATTTAACCGCACAAACACATCCAGACGCTGGTTTTTCCTTTCACCATAGTAGTCATAAACTATGCCTCTGTGCTAGTAGCTGGGTGCATTCACTTCTAGAAATCTCTTAGAAGTAAAGTCCCATCCATGTCTGCCCTCCAATCTCAGGCTAGGCCTATGTAGTTTTGAGGGGAGACTAGATTTGCAGGGAAATGAGGAGAGAACACACAACTTGGAGATTTGAAGAGCAAAGGAGACAAGGGCCAAGGAAATCATGGAAGAAGTCTGGAAGGATCTGTCCATTCTCTGGTAATGGTGAACATTCACATAGGGTTTTCCATGTGCCAGACACTGCTTTAAGAGCTTTATCTGTATTAAGTCATTTAATCTTCATAAAAATTCCATGAAGTAGAGACAATTATTATCCCCAATGTTACAGATGAAAACACTAAGATAGAAGTTAACAAGCCCTCTGTGATAGGCAGAAAAATAGCTCCCTAAAGATGTTGATATGGTTTGGCTATGTGCCCCCACCCAAATCTCATCTTGCAGCTCCCATAATTCCCACGTGTTATGGGAGGGATCTGGTGGGAGATGATTGAATCATGGGGGTGGGTCTTTCCCCAACCGTTCTCATGATAGTGGAGAGGTCGCAGGAGATCCGATGGTTTTAAAAACGGCAGTTTCCCTGAACAAGCTGTCTCTTTGCCTGCCGCCATCCACATAAGATGTGACTTGCTTCTCCTTGCCTTCTGCCATGATTGTGAGGCCTCCCCAACCACGTGAAACTGTGAGTCCAATTAAACCTCTTTCTTTTGTAAATTGCCCAGTCTGGGGAATGTCTTTATCTGCAGTGTGAAAATGGATTAATACAGATGTCCAGATCCTAATTCCCAGAATTTGTGATACGCAATGCTACATGGCAAGGGAGAATTAAGGTTGCAGACAGAATGAAGGCTGCTAATTAGCTGACCTTGAGATGGGAAATTATCTAGATTATCTGGATAGGCACAATGTAATCACAAGGTCCTTCTAAGTGAAAGAAGGAAGCAGGAGACTCAAAGAAGGAGATGTGACACAGAAGCAGAGGCTGGAGCCATGAGATTGCTGACTTTGAAGATGAAGGAAAGGGCTGCAAGCCAGGGAATGCGGGAGCCTCTGGAAGCTGGAAAAAGCAAGGAAAATAGATTTGTCCCTAGATCCTGCAAAGAGAAACACATCCCTGCCTACACCTGGATGATAGCCCAGTGAGACCTGTGCTGGACTTCCAGGACCTACAGTCCTGGAAGATAGTAGTAAATCTGTGTTGTTTTAAGCCACTAAATGTGTGAAAATTTATCACAGCAGCCTTAGCAATGAATACACTGCCCAACTTGTAAGCAGAGGATGTGGTGGCTTCAAAGTCCAGGCTTTTTCCCTGCTACTCCTTTCTTTCTTTCCTCCCTCATGCCCAATATCTGTCATCTGTTGATTGGTTAGTAACATTCTCAACGCCTTACTGTTTTATTAAACTTATAAAAACAATGTATTGGTTTAAAAAAAAACAATTCAGTGGTTGTGAAGGTAAGAATCAATAGACAATTTCTCCACCGTTAGCCCCGCCTCTTATAGAAGCACATGCAGCATGTCTTCTTCATACACGAATGTAATGCTAAAGCTGATGCAGTGGCTCAGGCCTGTGATCCCAGCACTTTGGGAGGCCGAGGCGGGAGGATCACTTGAGCCCTGGCGTTCGAGACCAGCCTGGGCAACAAAGTAAAACCCTGTCTCTAACAAAAAATCAAAAAGTTAGCTGGGCGTGGTGGCGGCGCACTTGTGGTCCCAGCCTCTGAGGTGGAAGGATCGCTTGAGCCTGGGAGGTTGAAGCTGCAGTGAGCTGTGATGGCACCACTGCACTCCAGCCTGGGTGGCAGAAGCAGACCCTCCCCCTGGAGGGGAGGGGAGGGGAGGGGAGGGGAGGGGAGGGGAGGGGAGGGGGAAAGAGAGATCCTACTCTCCATTTTAATACAACTTGCTTTTTTAATTAAAAACTATAGCTAGAACCGATAGATTTCACTCGTCCTTAAAAATAGTCCTGTATTATTTTATATAAACATCTCTCGCTATTTATCAAGGCCGTCACTTGTTCAGAAGTATTCTCACTTTTGTTTTGTTTTGTTTTGTTCTTAACAATTTGCTCCCTATATTCCTGGGCTGGCGCCTAGGCCTGCATCCGGGATTTGGCGCCACATCTGCGGGCAGGGCCTCTGAGGTCTAGGGGAGGGACGGCGCCGGCCAAGTCCCGCCCCCGTCCGCGTCGACCAATCAGCTCCCTGGAAGGCCCCTCCTCACCACCCCCCACCCCCGCAGTCTCCGCCTAAGACTTTCCAAGTCCTGTAGTTTCGAGCCCGCTGCCCTTTGCCTCCTGGGCGGAGAAGCTGCTTCCTCCTGGGAACAACCGCCTCCCGCTCCTAGCAGGTTGCTACTGCCCCGAACCCGCGCTGCAGGGAACAGCGGGGCAAACAGTGAGTGGGGTTCAGCGTAGACTCTGGACCAGGAGAGGCCCGCGGTGACCGAGGCCTGGGCCCCGGGTTAGTGTCCGGGGCGGGGAGCGGTGGGCGGGGTGCGACGTTTAGCGTCTGGGGAGGGCCGGGCGTGGATTGCGGCCTCTGCGCGCGCCCCCAGGTGATAGAGCCGTTCCACCGAGGATCCCTTCCTTCGTCTCTACCCCGTTGATGATTTTTCTCTGCAGCTCGGTGCCTATTTCATTCTCGCCGCATTGTTATGCCCTCTGCTGGGCAGGAGGCGATGACCCCCCCTATTTTCGTAGGATTTGTTTTTTGCTCCGCAAGGAGCCATTAAGATCTGAGCTAGCAGGAACCCTCGAGGCGATTTGATCTCGCCAGCTGGGGGCTTGCATTCTTCTAGGCTAGCTTGTCTCCGTTAAGCCCAGGTGGAAGTTCTCATCCACCCCAGTGCTCTAGGCGCCCACGGGCGCAGTGTGGGTTTGTGGTGGGGGAAGGGACCTGGGGAGGGGTGGCGGTGAGAGCGGCGCGGGGATTCAGGCTGAATGTTAGTCTGGAATGCATTTGGCCTGAAGCAGCAAGTGCTGGGTGATACAGTTCCCTGGTAAACAGCCGAGAGCTGGCCGCTAGTTTGGCCCAACCTGCAACGGAAGAAGGCCTTAAGTACAGGAGAAAAAGATCTTTGCCAATTGGATAATCATGGAAATTTAGAAGAAGTACAGCTCGAACTAGACGTAAAGGACAGAATGTGTCTGTCTAGCTGACCAGCCAACCATCGGTCCATCACTTTCATCCTCCAAACTAGTGATTTGTTGATGAATTGGTTTCAATACTTTGTTTTAAAATGTTGAATAAAAAGTAAATGAAATATCTCAGAATGGTCTAAAAAATAATGAAACGAATGCCTGACCATCTCCTTGGGTCAAGAAATAGGGCGTCACAGTACCTTAGAAGCCCATGAGTCCCAACTGATGCCCATGGTCCATTCTCCTCCATTCTCTGAGATGTGACATCTTTCGTGATTTTTGTCTTAATTTAATGAATCCCTTGCTTTTCTTTTTAGTTTTACCATATTTGTGTGTGTATTCCTAAAACATATGTATTGGCTTTCTCATTATAATGACATTATATTAATGACATTATCCTGTACGTATTCTTAAGTTTTATAGATTCATCTTTCATGCTTCCTTCCATTTTCGTTTTCGTCATTTAAGGTGTAAATGTACATAATTTATCCATTCTACTGCTGATGGACATTGGATTGTTTCTACTTTTGGAGGTGTATGATTTATCTATAAGCTATGTAACAAATTACCCCAACACCTAGCAGCTTCAAACCAAAGCGAACAAACAAAACAAGTCCTGTTACCTCCTATCTTACAGTTTCTGTGATCAGGAATCCAGGAGGGGCTTAGCTGGGAGTCTCTGACTCAGGGTCTCTCACAAGCTGTATCAACAATCAAGGTATTGACTGGGCCTCAGTCATCTCAAGGCTAGGCGTAGGGTCGAGGACCTCTCCCAGGCTTACTCACATGACTGCTGGCAGGCCGATTGGCCTCACTGACCCTGGCTGTACACATCAGTTCTTTGCCACATGGGCCTCTGTATAAAGAATGGTTGCAACATGGCAGCTTACTCCCCCCAGAGAGAAGGCTCCCACAGAGAAAAAGAGAAAGACAGAAGTCAGATTCTTTCTGTAACCTCAGAAGCGACATCCCATTATTTTTGCCATTTTATATTCATTAGAAGTGAGTCCCTAGGCCCAACTCACACTGAAGGGAAGGGGGTGACACAAGGACATGAACACCTGGAGGCAGGGATTATCGGGGCCACTTTAAAGCCTGCCCATGTCCTCTAATATTCAAGTACACTTGTGTGGGAGCTTCCCTAGAGTATATAGCTGGGAGTAGAATTGCGGAGTTATAAGATTTATGTGTATTCAATTTTATTGGGTCATTTCTAAACTTTCCAAAGTGTTAAACCAGTTTGCACTCCCTCCAGCAGTGGATGAGCATTCTTGTTGCTCTACATGCTTGCCACAGCTTAGTCTTGTAAAATTACATTTTTTGTCAGTCTGGCAGGTATGAAATAGCATTTAACTGTGATTTTAACTAGCATTTTCCATAACTAATGAGATTGACTTTTTATATGTTGATCAGTGCTTTCTCTTTGTGAAATTCTGATTCCTGTCTCTTTCATTTTTGTATTGGATTGTTTGTTTACCTTTTTTATTGACTCATTGGAATGCTTTCTTTATATAATCTGGGTACGAAGCAGTAATTGTTAGCTATATATGCCACAGACATCTTTCCAATTTGCTTTTGAGGTTTTCTTTCTCTCTATGTCTTTATATCTGTTTCTTTCTCTGTTTCTATCAATGAATCTAAGTTTTGAATTTAATTTCAAGTTAGTAGTACTTTCTTTTATAGCTTTTCTTGTTTGATAATTGTTTTCTCAAGATCATAGATTAATTTTAGTGTATCGTTTTCTAAAAGTGTTATAGTTTTGCCTTTGGCAATTAGTCTTAATCCACATGGAAACTGATTTTTATGTTGTTTATTCCATATGGATAATCTGTTGCCCCAGCACCAGTGATTTGCATGAATCAGGATTTCCATATAAGCATGAATTCGTTTTAAGCCCCCATTCTTATTTTCTATTTGTCTAACTCTGCCTCAATACTAAATAATTTTTAACCACTATAGTTTTATTAAAAGCCTTGAAATTTGGTAGGAAAAGTCCTATCACCTGTTTCTTCTTCTTTAAGAGTGTTTTAGCTTTACTTGGACCTTTGACCTTCCATATAAATATTTAAATAAACTTATCAAGTTCTCCAAAACAAGAAACAAACAAGCAAATAAACCTGTTGGAATTCTGATTGATAATGGATCAACTCTGTGTCTTAGTCTGTTTTGTGCTACCATAGCAGAATACCTGAGACTGAGTAATGTATAAGGAACAAAAATTTATCAGCTCACAGTTCTGGAGGCTGGGAAGTCCAAGATTGAGTGGCTGGCATCTGGCAAGAAAGAGCCTTCTTACTGTGTCATTCCATGGCATAAAGGCAGAGAAAGGCTGAAAGAGAGTGTAAAAGGAGGGTGAATGCCGCCTTTTATAATGAACTCACTCCTACAGTGATGGCATTAATTCATTCACTCTGCTGTCATGACCTGATGGCCTCTCATTAAGCCCACCTCTTAACACCATTGCATTGGGGATTAAGTTTCCAACACCTGCTTTTTGAGGGACACATTCAAACCATTGCACTCTATAAATTATTTTGGGCAGAAATTATTTCTAAGACATTGGCCCTTTTCCTCAATGAACATGGTATATGACACTATTTAAGTCATCTTCAATGTTTTGTACTATTTTTTATTGTTTTCTTTTGGCTCAGTTTTTGTTAAATTTCTAGGCACGTCATATTTTTACTGCTATTGTAAGCATTTTCTTTTGTAAAAGTTATATTTTGTAGTTTATTGTTGCTGGCATACAGAAATTCAGTTGCCTTTTATATATTAATTATATATCAATCAAACTTGAGAAAATTAATAATTCTAAATTTACCTGTAGCTTCTTTCAGATTTGCTACATAGGCAATCATATCATCCGAAAATAATGATAATTTTGTTTATTCGTTTCTAATTCTCATACCTTCAATTTATTTTTTCTGTCTTATGACAATGACTAGGAGCTCCAGTACACTGTTGAATAAAAGTAATAAAGGGCATCTTGTTTTGTCCTTAAGATAATAATGAGAAATATTTCATTATGTCAACTTAAAAATGACATTTGCTATAGTTACTTTGTAAATGTCTTCCCCATCATAAGAAAATTCTGTTCTTCTTTTGGTAAGCACTTTTATTATAAATGGATGTTTTTTCAAATGCTTTTCCTGTAGCTGTTGAGAATATATATACTTTTTTTCCTTTAACTATATTAACAACATAGTAAAGTATAGTATTTAATTTCTGATATTAAACCAATTTTGTATTCTTGGAATAAACCTTTTGTGGTAAATATGTAGTAATTTCTGTATGTGGATATAGATACAAAAGGTAAACATTGGATATTTATATTTATACGTGTGATTTAAGATTGGCATGTAATTATACTTTTCTGTACTATCCTTTTCTGATGCTGGTATTATCATAAAATAATATGAATAGTATTCTCCCTTATGCTATTCTTTGGAAGAATTTGTGCAAGATTGGGATTATCTGGTCCTTGAATATTTCCTTGAATCACCTGTAAAATCATCTGTGTTTGGAGTGTATTTTTTCAGAAGATTTTAATGATTATAGTACTATTTAGGTTTTCCTATGGAGTCAGTTGTAGTAAATTGTATTTTCCAAGATATTTAACAATTTCACATATACATGAATGTATCAGTATACGTACATGTATATGTTTATTCAATATATATAAATACATTTGACCATTGAACAATGGAGCAGTCGGGATACTGACCCCCCTCAGAATTGAAAATTTGTATATAACATTTGAGTCCTACAAAACTCAATACTAATAGCCTACTAATGAGTGGAAGTCTTACCAGTAACATAAGCAGTTGATTAACACATGTTTTATATATGCATTATATTCTTAACTAGAGAAAAAGAAAATGTTATTAAGAAAGTCATAAGGAAGAGAAAACATATTTACCATTCATTAAGTAAAAGTGAATCATCATGAAGGTCTTCCTTGTCATCTTCACATTGAGTAGGCTAAGGATGAGGAGGAAGGGAGGAGTTGGTGTTGCTGTCTTTGGGGGTGGCAGAGACAGAAGAAAATCCAGACCAACGCGGTTCAAACCTGGATTATTCAAGGATGAAGTGTTTATATATGAATATATATATATATATATATATATATATATATATATATATATATATTCAAGATTAACAAAATAAAACTGTTTATAAAATCCTCTCATTCTGTTTATAAATCTTTCCATTATCTATTGATATGGCCACTTTTTCATTGTTAATATGTGTACATTTTCTCTTTTTGTTTTAATTTTTCCAGAACATGGTCTACATTATTAGTTTTTCAAACACCAACATAAAAGCTTTATGTCTTTTTCTAATTTTTACCTATTTTATTACTTTCTTCTTTCTTTGAATTTTTTCTGTGATTTATTTTCTAAGCTTTTAAATTATATGCTTAGCTCATTAATTTTGAGCTTTTCTTCCTATGTAAGCTTTTAAAGCTATACATTTCTATCACTACTTTTTAGCTACATCTGACAAGTTTTGATATGATTATTTTTGACCATGTAGCTTTAATTATTTATAATTTTCCTTATAGTCTGTTCTTTGAGACATGAATTTTTTATAAATGTACCTTTTAAATTCCATTTGGCCATATGAAGTTTCTTTTGTTATCTTGTAGTTGTAGTTGCCTAATTTATATTGTAGTCAGAGATTGCATAGTGCCAATTCTTTTAAATTCGCTGAAGCTAGCTTTAAAACCCAGTAAGTTTTCTTTGTGTGCGTAAAAAGAATGTGTAGTCTGTAATTACATGATGTTCTGTGTATCAACTGTTTTAATTATACAACCCAATCTTACATATCTTTAACTTTTTATTTGCTTGAGTTGCCAATTACAGAAATAGGTATGTTAAATATTCTCACCATGATGGTGGATTTGATAATTTCTCATAAATGTATATATTTTTGCTTCATATATCTTGAGGCTATGTTATCAGTGAATTGTTGTAAATTGAACATTTTATCATAATGTAGGGACCTTACATTATGATACCTATTAATGTTTTCTGTTTTAAAATCGTATTTTTTTCAAAGATCAAATCAAGGTTTCTTTGGTTTTTGCCTCATTTATCTCTCTTTTATCGTTTGACTCTAACTCTTCAGAATCTGTTTTAAATATATATGTAGTAAACTTATTTGGATTTTTTAAAAGTCTGGATTTTTAAAATATTGTTTGACAATTTATAACTTGTCATTGAATAATCTGTGTATATTTATTGTGATTAGTAATACAAAGTTAGATTTATTTCTACCATCTTATTATTTGCTTTTTATTTTTCCTGCCTTTTATGTTTCTTTCCCTGCCCCTCCCCCCACCCATTTTTTTCCTTCTTTCTTTCTTTGCCCATTTTTTTCTTTCTTTTATTTGGAAGTTACATGTCTTAGTTCTGATGTTTTAATTTTATAATAGGTTTAACGCATATAATTCCTAATTTTTAAGATGTTTAACTAGTTTTATAACAGATTTAATTTAGCATACTTAAGTTAAATTGATCCTTAGTACCTTGTCTCTTACCCCGCAAGTATCAAATGATTATTGTTATTTAATACCATCAGTGTATTAAATATATGTTTACCAACATGTGTTTACAGATTTTTCTTTTTACAAAAAAAAACCCTGAGTTATAATGTGCGTAGAGTTAGGTTCACAAATAATAAGTGTACAGATCAGTGAATTTTATATATGTATATGGTCCTATCAGGATATAGATTTACAACACCTCAGAAGACTTTGTTTTTCCCTACTCTAGGTAATTTTCACTCTCAAAAATAACCACTATTCAGACCTCTGTCATGATATATTGGTCCAATCTTGATCTTCACATAAATTGAGTCATAAACAGGTATCCTTTTGTGTTTGTTTTATGCAGTTTTAGGTCGATGAGATTCTTCCATATAGTGGCATATAGCAGTACTTTTTTTTCTATAGTATTGTATAAGTATATCACAAATTATCCATTCTACTGTTGATGGACATTTATTTTTTCCAGTGTTTCTGACTATTACAAATAAATCTCATTTGAACATATCTTTGGTAGACATAAAAACTTACTTCTCATGAACATACATCTGGTCAGCCTAAATAATGTCAGACAGTTTTGCCACATAGCTGTATCGATTTATGTTCCCATCAGAAATATATATAAGTTCATCAGCTCCAGATCCTCATCACAATTTGATATTGTCACTATAGTTAATTTTAGCCACGTGAAATGGATATAGGTATCTTATTATGGTTTTAATTTGTATTACTTTGATGACTAATTATATTAAGCATCTTTTTGTATGCTTATTGGCCATTTGAATACCATATTTTGTGATGCACCTGCACATGTATTTTGTCTATTTGGGGGTAAAGGGGTGGTTTCTTTTTTTAATTAATTTTGTGAGTGTGTTAAATTATATTCCGAATATGCATATATATTTTTTCTTGTATCAGCGATTTGCAAATATCCTCTTCCAATCTTTGGCTTGCTTTTTCCCATTGGTAATTATGTCTTTTAATAAAAAGAACCTCTTTATTTAATTTTTATAATATCTAATTTTTATTGTTAATAAATCCAAACATTTATGCTTAGGACTTGAGTTGTATTGACGAGAATTTTGCCTACCTCTAGGTCACAAAAAGATTCCTTATGCTTAATAGTTCTACCATTCACATTTAGTTTTATAATTTATCTCAGAGTATTTTTTGTATATGATATGAGGTATGGGTTAAGGGTTCATTGGTTTTTATATAGACATCTAATCAATCAAGAACTACTTATTGAAAAGGCATTTCACACCATTAGACTTTTTGAATCTATGTTCATTGAGTAATATTCGTCTCTAGGTTTTTGTTCTTATAATGTACTTACGAGATTTTGCTATCAAAGTTATGCTGGGTGTAATAAAAATGAGTTGGGAAGAGTTTCTTCATTTACTAGTCTCTGGAAGAAGTTTTATGATATTAGTATTATATTTTTCTCAAGTGTTTAGAAAAATTCACCATAAAAATCCTTTTGGGACTAAACTTTTTTGCAGAATGTTTTTGATTTTGGACTGCATTTTTTTTATGTATAGGATTATTTATATTTTCTGCTTCTTCTTGCTGTTTTGGATAAATTATGTTGTTTAAACAATTTGCAAATTCATCTGAGTTTGTTAAATTTATTGGCATATGATTACTTGTAATATCACTTTGTTATATTTTTAATGTCTTTTGGGACTGCAATAATGTCCCCTGATAATTATAATGGATTCTCTCTCTGTGTCTCTTTATTGATCATTCTTAGTTTGGTTCATTAAAACCAACTTTTGGTTTTACTGAATTTCTAAATTTTTTAAAATTTGATTCTTGCTTTTATGTTTATTATATTCTCTGATTTACTTTAAATTTGTTATTCTTTTTCTAATGTTTTGAAATAGTTTACTTTCAGTCTTTCCCTTTTATTAATGTATGCATTTAGAGCTATAGAGTTTTCCTTTATTAAGTAATTCCTTTATTAAGTAATTGCTTTTGCTGCCTCCTGCAAATTTTGATAAATTGTATTTTAATTATTATTTAGTTAAGATATTTTCTAATTTCCATTGTGATTTCTTCTCTGACCTAAGGGGTGTTCAGAAGTGTGATCCTTAATTTCCAAACGTGGGAATTTTCTAATTAAATAAATAAAAATTATTTATTTCTGGTTTAATTCCATTAAGATCAGAGAATATATTCTACATCTTTTTGAGTTTCTTGAGACTTGCTTCATACCCAGTATATGTTTTATTTGAGAAAATGTTTGACACGCACTAAAAATCATGTATATTCTGTTGTTGGTAGGTGTATATGTACCATATGTGTCAACAGGGTCAAATTTGTTAATTATGTTATTCAAATCATGTATATCCTTACTGATTTTTATGCACTTGTTTATTCAGATTACTGAGAAAAATGTACTTAAATCTTCAACTATGCTTGTGGACTTGTCTTTTCTTCTTTTATTATTGTCAACTTTGCTTTATAAATTTTGAAGTTATTAAGGATACAAATTTAAAATTTTTGTATTGCTGTACTGAATTGATCCTTTTATCATTATGAAATTTGTTTTATATCTACAGTAACACTTGCTGACAGTAATGTTTACTTTGCCCATTGTACATAAGCCATACTAGCTTTCTTTTGGTTAATGTTTGCTTGGTGTACCTTTTTCCATCCTTTCACTTTCAATATTTCTCTTCTAAATGAACTCTTTTTCTAATTGGATTTTTAATCCATTTATATTTAGTATAATTATTTATATAGTTGGTATCTTAGTTGTTTTGGGCTGCTGTGACACAAATGTGATAGACTGGTGGTTAAACAACAAACATTTAAAGATAAACCAGCAGATTTAATGTCTGGTGAGGGCTGGCCTCCTAGCTTATAGACAGCTACCTTTCTCACTGTATTTTCACATGGCCAAGAGAGGGAGCTCTAGTCTCGTTCTCGTCTTATAAAGATACTAATCCCATTATGAGTGTTTCACACTCATGACATCATCTACATCTAATTACCTCCCAAAGGCCCACTTCCTAATACCATTCCATTGGGGGTTAGAATTTCAACATACAAATTTTGGAGGGACACAAACATGCAATCTATAAATATTGGGTTTAAGCAAGGTTGCAGTGAGCCGAGGCAGCAGTGAGCCAAGATCGCACCACTGCAATCTAGCCTGGCAACGGTGACACTCCTTCTCCAAAAAAAAAAAAAAAAAAATTGGGTTAAAGTCTACCAATTTGCACAGTTTTCTCTTTGTTCCATTTCTTCTTTGTTATTTTCTCTTTTCTTGATTTCTTTCGAATTCAACACTTTCTATTAATTTTTCTTCAATATTTTGAATTATAATTTTTTAAATTATTTTAATGGTTACTTTAGATATTACAGTTCACCTTATTGATTTATTATGACCTACCTTAAATTATTACTTCTATGTATTCTCAATGCAAAATTTTAAGTTTATCTCCATCTTGCAGCTGTACTATTGTCTGTTTTATTTTTTATATGCTTCTGTATTCCATAAGGCATTTTGTTTATTTAAACAGTCAATATTCATTTATATTTGCCTATGTATTTACTCTTTTCAGTGTTCTCTATTAATTCCTACAGCACTGTACTTCTATGAGGAATAATTTTCATAAAAAATTAGTTTTAGTAGTTATATTCTAGTGGAAAATGCTTTCAGCTTTAGTGTATCTAAAATTACATTGCCTTTATTTTTGAGGAATATTTTTCTTGTGTATAGAATTTTAGGTTGGCAGATTTTTCTTTTTCTTTCATCTTTTAGGAATTCTGTTGTGTTCTTATTTTCATCACTCTTTTGAAAAATTAGCTGTATTTTTTGTTCATTTAAATGAAAAGTATCCTTTATCTCTGGCTGCTTTTCAGATTTTCTCTATGAATTTGGTTTTCAGCAGTTTGAATGTGATGTGTCTCAATGTAGTTTTCTTTCTGTGTATTCTGCTCGGGGAACATAAAGTTTCTTCAGCTTGTGGTTTGATGTTTTTCAAATCATTAATTGATAACATTTTGCTTGTTTTATTATCTCCTTCCTTTCCGTCTGGGACTGTGATTACTCATGTGTCACAACTTTTCACCCTATCTCATAATCCTGTTACACTCTTTCTGTATCTTTTGATCTCTTTGTGTATCATGTTTTCTTTCCTCTTATGTTATGTATGGATACTTTCTACTTACCTTTGCTATACTTCACCAATTCTCTGGTCTTTTGTGTCTAATATGCTATTAAAGCAATCTATTAAGTACCAATTTTAATTATTATTATTTTTCTTTTTTAATTTTTCATTTTACTTTTTTATGAGTTTTATTTCTATGCTGAAATTCCACAGCCTTGTTTCTAATTTCTTAACGTATGAATCACAGTTAAGTTCTCTAAGAACTCAAGTATCTGAACCACTTGTGCCTGTGTTTATTTTCTGTTATTTCTCTTGAGTTATTGGCAACTTATTCTGTTTTTTTAACTGCTTTCCTAATTTTTGATTCAATGCAGAATATTGTGGATGAAAAAATATAAAGGTTTTGATTGATGTTATTTTCTTTCAAGAGGATTTTTTGGGGAAGTGGGCAGATAAAGTACCAGCAGATTACTTTGATGCTATCAAATATTAGTTTTAGGCTTTGTTAGGACTAGCCCATTTAAGGTTTGATCTTTCTCCAAGAACATAGTCTTTAAACCATAAGATATGCTTCTTCATATGTCAGGGATTTTCTTATGTGTCAACTGAAATCATGGAGTGTTTATTAGAATGTTTCTTTTTGTTGGGGCATAAACTCCATTGCTTTTCTCAGAACAATATAACCACTGAAATGACTGCTCAACTGTTTAGCTCTTTGGCCACTATTTCCTACAAGTTTCCTTGAGGTCTCTCCTATTGCATGCATAGCTTAGGAATCAGCCAGTGACATTAGGGGAATTCATATATAAAATTTTAGATTAACTTGTCTGGTTTCTTCATGTCTGAAACTTTGCCCTTTGAGCTCCACCTGGTTTGATAGTCTTGAACCAGTAAGACTGACACTTCCTTTTCAGCCTCAGTAACCCTGCACTGTAAAATGAAAAATGCCCGAAAGTAAAAAGCAATAGCGAATATACAACTCATGTCCTGTGTTTTCTGTTCATCAAGGATTATAGTCCTTTTGTCCTGTTTATGTTGTTTACTTTTCTGAGTCTTCAGTTGGTTTCCTATATTTTGTTGAGCTTTTATTATTGTTTCCAATGGGAGGATTATTCCAAAGATATGAGGGAATTTCAAGAAGTTTGTGGGAATAATGGAATTAAAAATTTTTTGAAAAATAAATGTTGCCTCAACATAAGCCCCTTCAAGTTCAAGACACTTTTGTAAGCAGTGATAACAGCAATTTAGTCCATCACTAAGAAACTGAAGGTCCTAGGAATTTAGCCATGTAGATACAGTATTTTTACATTATTAACCAAACAAAAATGGGTGCCCTTCTCCCAGCACTTTGGGAGGCCGAGGCGGGCGGATCACAAGGTCAGGAAATCGAGACCATCCTGGCTAACATGGTGAAACCCTGTCTCTACTAAAAATACAAAAAATAAAATAAAATAAAATAACTGGGTGTGGTGGCGGGTGCCTGTAGTCCCAGCTACTCGGGAGGCTGAGGCAGGAGAATGGCGTGAACCTGGGAGGCGGAACTTGCAGTGAGCCGAGATCGAGCCACTGCACTCCAGCCTGGGCAACAGAGCGAGACTCCGTCTCAAAAAAAAAAGAAAAATGGGTGCCCTTCACAGATTTTTTGAGATTAGGAAACGAAGTCAGAAGGAGCCAAATCAGGACTCTAAGGTGGATGCCTAATGATTCCCCATTGAAACTCAAAATTGCCCTTAGTTGATGAGAGGAATGGGCAAAGTCATTGCCATCGTGGAGGAGGACTGTCTGGTGAAGCTTTCCTGGGTGTTTTCCTGCTAAAGCTATGGCTGACTTTCTCAGAGCACTACAGTAATAAGCAAATGTTATCATTCTTTGGTCTTCCAGAAAGTCAACAAGCAAAACACCTTGAGCATCTCAAAAAACTGTCACCATGGCCTTTGCTTTTGACCCATCTGCTTTTGCTTTGACTGGACCACTTCTGCCTCTTGGTAGCCATTGCTTTGATTCTGCTTTGTCTTCAGGATCATACTGGTAAAGCCATGTTTCCTCTCCTGTTACAGTTCTTTGAGGATATGCTTCAGAATCTTGATCTCACTTGTTTAAAATCTCCATTGAAAGTTCTTCTCTTTTCTGCAGCTGATCTTGATGCATCCCATCAAGTGGAGAGTTTGCTCAACTTTCATTTTTCAGTCAGAATTGTGTAAGCTGAACCAATTGAGATGTCTTTGGTGTCTTCTCTTCTTTAATTCACTACAGATATTTAGATGAGTATTTCTTTTTATCATTTTAGGATTTGTTAGACTCCCTGGATCTGAGGATTGGTGTCTTTCAAGATCTCTGGAAAATTCAATCATTTCTTTCAATAATAACTCTCCCACAATCTTTCTATTATATCTATTTGAACCTCAGATCAGATGTGTCTTAGGTCTTCTCACTATATGCTCTATATCGTCTATCCTTTTTCATATTTTCCATCATTTTTTCGATTTTAGACTGAATTATGAATAATTTCCTCTACTCCAGATCCAGTTCAGTAATTCTTTCTTCAACTTTGTTTAATCTTCTATTTAGTCTCTTCAATAAATTTCTATTTTGAACTATTTTATTTCAATTATTTTTTAATTTCTAGTTTTGATTCTTTTTTATAAATACAATTATTTTCTGTTCAAGTTTCTAGTTTCTATTTTATTTTTCAAATGTACAAAACATGGCTATTCTATGTTCTGTGACTAGTAATTCTGATATCTAAATTTTGCCTGTTTCTGATTCTCTTGTTTGTAATGGCTGTCTTTCATTGTGCTTTATTTCCTGAGTGTTATGTGGTTTTAAAAATTATTAATGTGAGCTTCTCCTTTCATGTGAATTTTTGTCCTAGAAATTATTTCTAGATACATTAAAGTTAAATTTCTCTAGAAAAGATATGCATGTGCATCTTCCAATTGAATACATTAGCAAATTGGGACCACCTCAAATTATTTGCTTAGGGTTTTTGAATTCACAGATGTAGCATGAATTAATATTGCAAACCTATATGGAAAACTGGTTTGTGATTATTCATTCTCATTGATCTTTTTCCCCTTCATCTTTCAGCAGGGTCAAGACAAGCAAATTGCATTGATTTCTTCTGTGACATGAATTTACTTCCTATTTACCTTTACCCTGTTGGAATACCCCTTTGGTGTGTGAGCTTTGTGCTGGGATGTCATTTTTAATTATATTCTTTTTGTGAGCTTGGTCTTAATATCCTAGGCTGGAAACCCCATAGAGTCACTCCCCATACATTCTCCAGGGTTTTGTGGAAGCATTGTGGTGAGAGCCAGCTTTCATGCTTGCTTCCTTCAATGTTTCCTGCTTTTAGTTTGTTTCTGGCTTTGTGTACTCTCTACTTTCCTATCATTTCATTGATGAATTTATAATATTTTGTGTATATATGTTGTTTGCATCAGTAGTATGTTTTGGGACATTTATCTACATTCCTAGAACTAAAACATTATTTTTAACACCTTATTAAAGTTAGATATTTGCATGTGTGATTATATATCAGTATATCATAAATGTACAGCTTGATACATTTTTACAAACTGAACACAACCTTGGGCCAGCACCTAAATTAATTAAGAGAACATTACCAGTAACCCAGAAGTCGCCTTTGTGTTCCTCTCTAGTCACTACCTGGCCCAAGAGTAAATATTATTCTAAGTCTTAATATCAAATATTAGTTTCACCTGTTTTTATATTTATGTAAATATAACAATATAGTATGTACTCTCTTGTTTCTGGCTTAGTTCACTACAGTATGTTGGTGAGATTCAGCTATATTGTGAAAAATGCAAATCATTCATTCTCATTGCTGTACCATATTTCATTGTGAATATGCCACAATTTATTTAAACATTCTACTGTTGATGGTACCCAGCTGATAGAGAGCAGGGTGGATTAGAGCTGAGAAAGCAGGGAGGATAGGATTTGAGTAGTTTCCAGTTTTAGACTACCTTGGATGGTGACACTTTGAGGATTCCAGTACGTGTCCTTCAGTGAAAATGTGTATATTGGGTACACACCTAAAAGTGGTATTACTGAATAATAGTCTTATTTTGCGTTGCAAAATAATACTTGTAACATTTTCAAAATCCAAAGTGTCTAAAGAAAAAAATTACTGCTCAACCCTCCCCCACTTCCTGAAGTAGCCAAATTTGTCCTTATGTTTTCTGTGCTTAAACATAAACACGCAATTATAGAATTTTTTCCCTGCAAAAAGTAGGATCATACTTTTATTGCTGAAAATATACATTAAGACAATTTCTCAAGGTATGAATTGAGCTCATTTTAAAGAATTGCGTAATATTTTTGATATGGATTTTTAATTGTTCATTTATTCACATGTTTCAGAATATTTACCAAACTTAGTATCTCAAAAGTTATTTGAATACTTTCAGGATTTCATAGCAGTCTTCGTTACTCAGAGCTACTCCAGGCAGAACATTAGAAAGGAAAACAAACTCAAGGGGAAGTAGAAATAAGAAAGGATCCAGCATTTAAAATTTAGCTTATAATGTGGTGTCTGAGACTGAGAAAGAGGAGATAGAACCAGCTCAAAATTTGAGGAAGCAGCCAGACAGGGTGGCTTATGCCTGTAATCCCAGTACTTTGGGAGCGGAAGCAGGAGGATCACTTGAGCCCAGGACTTCAAGACCAGTCTGGGCAACAAAGTGAGACCCCATCTCTACAGAAAAAAAAAAAAAAAAAAATACAAAAACTCCCTGGGCATGATGGCGCGCACATCTGTAGTCCCAGCTACTGGGGAGGCTGAGGTGGGCGGATCGATTGAGCCCAGGAGTTCGAGGTTGCAGTGAGCCTCGCTCCACTGCACTCCAGCACAAGACCCTGTCTCAAAAAAAAAAAAAAAAAAAAAAAGGTAAAATTTGAGGAAGCATTAAAAGAGCATGAAGGAAGGAGAAAACTTACTTACAGCACAGGAGGTGTGTAATTTCATCCATTTTCTGCTTTAGGCTGCTGTTTGTTTTTTTGAGGAATGATCCTAAGGATTTTCTTTCTTACCCCATTTCATCCATCCATCCAGTGGACATTACAGAGCACCTGTTTGTGACCTAGTTGAAGTGGGGAATAGAAAGAATAAAATAGAGTTCTTAACCTATGCTTCCTGTAGTTGGAGCAGTTGAAATGAAACCCTTAATTTATATGGGATGTCGTACCCTGTCCCTTTCACCACTGAAGCCACCTTCCCCTGGAAGGTCCACTCTGGACACTACACTTTTGTAGTAAGGGAGAAAGCTTTGTGATGGTCTCTTCCAGAGAACAGTTTGGTCCCAGGACAACCCTTCCTTAGGTACCCAGCAAACAGGGGCCAGGGCAGTGAGGGGTGAGGAATCTGGAGACAGGACAGGGGCCATGCAAATCTCCCTGGGGCCCTGGGGACCAGCCATAAAAAGAGATGAGTGGTTCCTCCAGGTTTTACAGTTGAGCTCTCCAGGTTAGATGAGTAGATGCGAGTGCAGGACCTGGTCAGGCATAAAGCCAGTTCCTGCTCCATGGTCAAGTCTCGTGTTCCACTCAAATAACATGGATCAGAACTAGCAACAAAGTTCTCCACAGGGAGAAATCATATTTGTAGAGAAGCCGCTGCCAGCTGCTTGGGTGAGGATATTTTATGTAGTTTTTTAGTTGATTAAATTTATTTTTATTACAAAATAATGCGTGTGACTATTGAAACGCTAATGAGGTGTATCAAGAAAAAAATAACAAGTAATCCACTTTCCTGTCTGAAGTAACTGGTTCTAATAGTTTATCTTCCATACAATTTCTGTGTTTATATAAGTACATATGAACAGTTTTGAAGTTTTTTTTACACAAAATGGAACGTTTTTTACTATGTTAGATGTTTATTTTAAAAATAATATATAAATATATAGATAGAGGCAATATATAAGTAGATTTATATAAGTAGATTTAACCCATCCTTGGAAATAGTTGTATATTATTTTACACAGAGATCATCATTATTTATCCATCGCTCCCTTGTTAATGAACAGTCTCAACGATTTACTTTGAAACAAATCGTCCTGCTGCACTCTGAGGGCGGGCGTCTGGGTCTCCATCCCGGATCTGGGGCGGCATCTTGGGGTAGAAACTGACACAAAGCCGGGCCTCTGCGGTCCGGGGGCGGCGGCCAAGCTCCGCCTCCACCCGCGGCAGCCAATCAGCTCCCGGGGACGCCCCAACCCCCAACCGTCTGCACTGCAGCCCACCTCCCCCCACACGCCTCCTCCTAGCCACTTCACTACCAATTTGCAAATTCCCAAGGCGTCTGCCCCAGCGCCTTCCCACATCTCTGTGGAAGACTCCCCACTCCAAAGTAGCCTGGTGTGGAAATTGCTGGACGAAAGGGTGAGTCTCGTCCAAAGCTGGTTTCGGGGACCAGACCAGGCCCGGGCACACGGACCAATTCAGGGGCGGCTCCCGATGCAGTCCGCTGAGGTGCGGGTGGGAGAAGGAGGCACTGGGTCGGGGTCCTTGGGGAGCGCGGCCGAGGGGGGCGCACGCGGGGCTGCCAAAGTGGTCGCGTTTTTGGCCTGGGACCCCCTTGGGTTTTGGGTCCAGGGAGGTAGATGTCTTTCAAAAAGGGTTGCCTGCGCTTTCTCCATTGCTGTTTCTATTTCAGCTTCTTTCTACCAGTCTCTTATTTCTTTCATACTGCATTTCTTCTCCAGGAACATAACCAGCAACATATTTTATTTTATTATGAAATATATTTCAAAGCTACGCGCAGGAGATAATATGACAGATTTATTATATGCTGACATTTTATCACCTTTGCTTCAGCGCTCCCTCTCTTCCTCCACCCCCCTTTCTTTCTAAGAAATAAAACACTTAAAAACCCCTTCCCCCCACCAAATCTCATGCCCCCATCCTGAGAGGTAAGTTAGCTTGCATCCCTTACCTTGTATATTTTGTCCTTTATTATTAATGTTTATTTTTAGGTATGCGTTTTTGTTCTGAATTTAAAATTTTTGCACGAGATTCAGTATTACAGGGTTTTAACTTGCGGTGCTGTTAGTCCTGACATTGCAGACCCGGAAGGGACTTAGTGAGTGCCAGTCACTAGCCCGCTTCATTTAGCTGAAAAATCTGAACACTGGAGAAGATAAAAGATGTGCTCACTGTCTCTCAGGTGGGCCTTGACTTGGCAGAATCTTGAATTCAGGTTCTCTTGATTTCTCTCCCTGCCATTTCCTTTACATAAAACCTGCCGCGGAGCTCACCTATCTACATGGCCTTCTGACTTGTTCCTAATGATCCAATTTGGAGAAAGGGAGTTGAAGGGAGATGGGGAAAGGGAGTATGGCTTGGGTTGGGACTCAAACCCCAGTTAGGATTAAAAGGTATGCATTTTCCTGAAATATGAAATATTGAATTTTAGGATGATTTGAATATTTATTTATGAGGCACTCATCCAGTCTTACCGTATACCAGACATTGATTCAAGAACTTTACAAGCATAAACTCACCTAACTTAAGCCTTATAATAAGGCTTAGTATAGGTATTACTTTTCTCATCCCCGTTGTATAGGTAATAACACTGAGGCACAGAGGAATTAGGTAACTTCCCCAAAGTCACACCGTTGGTAAAGTGTAGCTCTGGGATTTGAATCCAGTCCACTTAGTCTGGGTCCCTGTCACCACCCTGCATTTCCCATGCTGGAGCCAGCACCTGTGAGAAAGGTGAAGTGGCCACATACACAAGAGAGAGGAGCAGCTCTCAGCTGATATCATAAAGGAAAGAAATGGGGAGCGGGCACGATGGTGGCTCACGCCTGTAATCCCAACACTTTGGGAGGCCGAGGCGGGCGGATCACTTGAGGTCAGTGATTTGAGATCAGCCTGGCCAACATGGTGAAATCCCGTCTCTACAAAAATAAAAAAATTAGCCAGGCGTGATGGCGGGCGCCTGTAATCCCAGCTATTTGGGAGGCTGAGGCAGGAGAATCTCTTGAACTCGGGAGGCGGAGGTTGCAGTGAGCCGAGATCGCGCCATTGCACTGCAGCCTGGGCGACAGAGCGAGACTCCGTCTCAAAAAAAAAAAAAAAAAAAAAAAGAAAAAGGAAAGAAAGAAATGCGATTTGAACTGTACACCGAAAAATACATTTTGGTTAACTATTGTTTGAACTGTATATTATTTTTAATTTACAAAAGTAAGACACGTAACTGCAAACAGTGCAGAGTTATATAAAAAGTTGCACCTCTCCTATTTCTCAAGTTAAACAATATTAATGGGTAGAAATGTAGCCTTCCCTTCTCCCCACCATAATACAAATATATACGGGGTTTGTTTTTCCTATAAAAACAAAAGCATATTCAACAATTTCTACAATTTGTATTTTCCCCTTGGCAATATATCACGGTATATTCACCGACTAAATGGAGATTCAAGCTCTTCCTAAGAACTGAATAATACTAAGCAGAATGTTTGTCCCACAATTTGCTCAGCCTTTCCCTTACTAATGTAGAGTCAGAGAAGTTTGTATCTTTAATGAAACAGCCGTCCACACTGCCAGGATGGGGTCTCCAGGCGTCCCTAAGCCACAGCAATGCCAAGCCACCAGGGCCGGCGACACAAAGAAGCGCTGTCCCCCGCCAAGCGCCGCCCCCTGGAGCTCCCACTCCAGCCTGGGAGGAAGTGGGGAGGAGGGGACTCCCGTGGAAACCCCTCCTCTCCTCCAGCTCCAGCCTCCTCCCCGCTCCCAAATCCCGGCTCGGTCGCCCAGTCACTGGTACAGGGAAGCCTCTTCCCTGTGCATTCCTCTCTGCGCCAGGCTCTGCCCGCTCCCACCTGCCCCCGTGGAAATCGCAGGGTGACCTGGTGAGTGGCCCTCTCCAAAAGCCTGGCAGGCTGGAGAAGGGGCCAGCAACGGTGGACTCGGCCTGGGTGCTGCGGGGGGGAGGGCAGGGCGGGAGGCCGGGGCGGGGGTGCGGGGCGCGATGGGTGCGCCGTGGGTCTGGGTGTGCCGAAATCAGAAATCATCGGGGACAGAGAATCCCCTTTGTGTCCGTATTTCTGCTGGTGATTTTCCTCTGCGCTTGGGTCCCGCATCCCCCTGCCGCATTGCTCCTCCTCTCCAGGTTCTGACATCTGATGTTTGTGTGTGCTTGCTTTGTGTGGTTGAGTTACCTGAGGGCCTGACCTAGAGAACCGCGTCTAATCCGCTGCTTTGTCGGATGAGAAGGCCCGGGGCTTGAGCAGGGTCGCGGGTAGCTGGTGACAGAGCATTACTTGTGGCCTACTGTCCTACTGCCCTTTGATCTTTGTGAACACTGGCTTTGGGACTGAGCTCTATCTCCCACTGGCACTGGCCCCTGGAGACTTGAGTGAGCGTTCGTGTGTGTGTGTGTGTGTGTGTGTGTTTACGCGCATGGAGGAGCTCCCCTCCTCCCTGCCGGCTGCCCCCCACTCCCCAGCCCCCTCCCTTCTCAGACGTCACCGTTGTGCTCTTTGCAGACTGGCTTTGGGCCTGGGAGGAAAGAAGAGAGTGGAGCCCCGCCAGACTCCAAGCTGAGTGCTGACAGCCTCTGGGAGTTTAGAACATCCCTTCTCACACACTGTGCATTTGATAGAATACTCCCTGAGGCACGCAGATCAACAGCTGGGGGGTAGGCAGCGCCCACATTTAAAAAGGTAATAATACCCAGGTCTTCTCACTCCTGGGCTTGTGCTCCTCAATTATGTCATCCTCTTGAGTGACCTAGGAGAGAAGTGAGAGAATAGGAGTAAGAGAAAGACAGAGCCTCTGGGGAACTTGAGAATTAAGAAGGCAGTTCGGTAAGGTAGAAATAGAGGACTAGAAGAAGCAAAGACTCCAACCCTGCTTACTCCTATGGGGATGGTAGAGGGGCTGAATGGGGAGGATCACAGGAGGGGCTTCAAAGATGGTGGTAAAGGTCTATTTTTTAAGCTGAATGGTAGGTATATGGGAGTTTGTTTAATTTTTCAGATTGTTTTATTATTACCATCTATATCCCTCCACATGTATTCCATATTCTTACAGGTGTATGAATTAAACAATCTTAAGTGAAAAATAAGACTGAGCTGGGAATGTCTAGGACAGAATTCAAAAAAGGGGTTGAACTAGCCCGATGTCTTGGAAAAGACACTGGATATAGAAAGGAAAAGAAACAGAAGGTTCATGAGAAAAAAACAGCATGAAGGAGAGAAGACCTATGGAATTGAATGTGTGTAATATAAACCAGTTTTCGAGGTCAGGCTAGCTAGTTGCTGAAAAAATGATCCTGGGTTTACCCTTATACCCTCATCTGTCATTTAATCATCCAGACATGGAATGTCTATTCATCCAAAGAATAAAATGTATACTCTGGCCTCAGACACTTACTCTAGTTTCAGGATTTGAAATCACACTACCATACGGGATATGGGTGGTGCAGCATCCAGCATGGCCCTCCATCCACCTGCCCTTCCACGCATCTCTCAAAGGGAAAACCAGGTTTACGAGCCATGGCGCTGCTCTGTGGTGGGAGTGGAAGCTCTGCTCTCTCCCTGAGTTACAGGTTGTGCCTTCAATACTTTCTGCTTTGGAGTTGGCTTTGGTTCCAGCAAGCTAAAAGGGGCCAGAGGTGGGCCCAGGAGAAAGAAAGCAGGAAGCATGGGAGGGGTTAGGGAGAGAAATGAAAGGACATTTCCCCCAGGTTTTATTCATTTGAGCTCACCAAGCTTGGAGGACAAACATGGATTCGGGCATAGAGAGGGAGCATTTGGTTCAAAAGTCAAGTGATGGAGTCACTGATAGCTGGTTAAAGTGGGGACACAACCAGCTGCAGAGTTCAAGGGACCCCCATAGAGGAGGAAATCAAATTTATAGATGGGCAGATGCACAACCTGATCAGAGATGGAGGAAGACCTTTTAGGTCCAGTGAGCCAGGATCAGTTGATCAGTCTACCTCATCATGTAAAAACTGTACCTAATCTTTTAATGTGTGTTTACATGCTTAACTGAATTTGTATTAACTCGGTGTTGTTTCTCATTGTAGTAGCAATACATACAACAATTCAAAGGATGCAGATTTGTATAAAGACAGAGAAAATGGTTCACCTCTTTCCTTCCTAATGTAATCAATGTGATTATGTTGAAATGTGGCCTCCATAGATTTTCAATGCATATAAAAGCCTGGTATGTAACAGGTACTTATGTATTCCTGGTGCTTAAGAGTATGGACTCCAGCACTGGGTTTCCTGGATTTGAATCCTAGATCCACCACCACTTAGCACCTGTGTGATTTTGAGCAAATAATTAATTCTCTGGGCATTATGATTTTGGAGTTTTTGTTTTGCCCATCCATAAAATGGGGATAGTGATAGTAAATATCTCATAGGTTTATTGTCAGCATTAAATAAGTTACAGAAATCACGTGTAGTAATGCCAGGAACCTGGTAAGCATTGTGTTGTTACTACTACTAATAATAATTACTACCACTACTAATTACAACTATTACTATTATCTTTGCCCATACAAAAATGACTTCATGTTCTGCATATCATAGTGACTTGAAATTTTCACTTGAAATGTATCTAGGACATTCTTCTAGGTGGATGTAAAATATATTCAACTCATCCTTGAACTAGCTCAGAAAACAACTAGTGAGACAGATATGTGAGGTCCCTGTTCTGCTTGTACTCGTGCCAGCGTTAGAGGCAGCAGAGGCTGAGGGAGAAGGGTTCTGATGGGCAACTCTTTAGTGGGTGTGTGTGGATAGATGGCTGGGGACAGTGCTACAGGGTCTTATGCTGGGTACAATGGGGTATCTGGGGGCTATGTGGAAGTTGGATAGGTGTGGGTTTGGGTTAGAGATCCTGCACCCACAAGAATCAAAAATGGTTCTAGGAAACATTCTTTGTCATTAGTCTATCTGTC
Organism: Homo sapiens; assembly: GCF_000001405.40. NCBI lineage: Eukaryota > Metazoa > Chordata > Mammalia > Primates > Hominidae > Homo > Homo sapiens. The sequence continues at coordinate 143,879,673 of NC_000007.14, read as the reverse complement.
TGTACTTCTAGGTTTTCATTTATCTCCCTTTGTAATTTTGTGTGGCAGTAAGCATCCTGTACGTATATCTTTGATACTGCCCTTCTTAGTTCTGTAAGAACGGTTATTAGAAGAAAGGTTGTTGGGTCTAAAGATAGGCACACCTTTGAAGCCAAGTAGGCACCATAAAATTGTTTTTGAAAAAGAGCGCAGACATTCTCCGTCATTCCTGCCGATTGTGATGGTCTTTTAAGTATTAAACATTATTAGCCTTTCAAATATTAAACTTTACTAGCCACCTTTGTCTTCTTCATCTTCATCTCCTTCCCCTTCTTCTCCTCCTCCACTTTCTCCTAGAAAGAAGTATCATCTTTTTTAACAATATTATGAGCAACACATGATATATTTTCCATTACTTGACTACTAGTGAGATTGAGCATTTTTTCCACACAAGTGGCCATTTATATTTTCTTTTCTGTGCCATATCTTCTCTTAGAAGGACAGGATTTCCGTAGATAGAAAGATTTGGGAGAGGGAACAGAATGGAAAGAGATTAGGAAGATAATCTAAAATGAAAACAGGGCATGTCCAAGGGCGCCTGGCAGACGGGATGCTGCAGGGAGAAAGGCAGCAGGAGAAAAGGCAGGAAAAGCCAGGGAGCAGCCAGCTCTGCAGGCAGTCCACACCAGGAGGCAGTAGATGGTCCCCAGAGACCAAGGTGGAGCTTTGAGATTAAATAACATGATTAGAGTGGTTTTAGAAAAGTAAAGGTGGGAAGAGGTCTTGGTAACTTAGAAATTGGGTCGGTTGAGTCCAGGCATGAATTACTAAGGACCTAAACTAGGTTAATGGCAGTGTGATTGGAAACCATGAACAAGGACATTAATAGGACTTGTGACCAGCTGGATATGGCAGCAGCAGGGAGAAGAGACATACTGTGACACTGTGCACTTTGCTATCCTGATTATTTGTGGGCATCAGGAGGAGCAGGGAAGAGACAAGCTTCTTGCTTACCAAATGTTCATATCAGTATCTTCTCAATAGTCCCCTGAGGTAGGTAGGTCATTAATGCTTCTGTTTAACTACTAGAAACGTTGAGCTTATGTAATTTGCCTTAAAAGAGCTCACTTAGAGGGAAATTAATAAATTCAAGACTTTTTTAGTTTAGAGACTGGCTATAAATGGCCAGTATGGTCTTGAACTTGTTACCTCAAGACTGGGGCTATTTTATCCTGGCTTGTGGAAGGCCCACAGCCTGTGTGAAGGGCTTTCTCAAGGGTACACAGAGATATATGAGAAATGAATGTAATAGTAATTAGCATTAGTGTTAGTGTTAGTATTAGTATGGTACCAAAATATGAAAACTATTAAATCAGAATCAATACATGCTCAATTCAGTGCTTGTAAAATCTATGTTAGGTTAAATTGTTTTTCCACTGCAAGAATTCTCTATTATTCACATGCTTAAATTAAATGGTTTATTCTTAACCAAATAATTATAAACATATACGTTTATGCATATAAATAATACTTATGAAAAGGCATTTAACCTATGTTATTTCCCTTAATCCTCAGGACAAGCGTATATGGCAGATATTATTATTCCTATTTAATTAATAATGAAACTAAATCTGAGATGTGTTGTCCGCGTCTCACAATTGTTAAGCAACAGAGCTGAAATTCAAACTCAGACTGCCATAACTCCAGAGCCCAAGTTTATAATCAGGTTGCGTATTATGTTGGGAGTGAGCATATTATCTGACAAGGGAGATAGACAAGTAGTAAGGGCCAGTGATTAAATTGTAAGGGCTGTCTGCATATTCCAAGAGGAGGTCAGAAAAGGACAGAAAGTAAGTGGTTCTAGAGGTTGGATATAAAGAGGTTACCTCGGGCCGCACTGACAGAGGTGGTTCAGCCTCATGGACTGAAGAGCAGTGATGTCCTGTGCTGCTGAGTGGTCACTGAGGATGAGACAACCTGCATGACCTGACCATGAAAACACATCTGTCCTTGGAGGAAGTGTTTCAGTACAGTGCTCATAGCAGAGGTCAGACTATAGAGCATCATTAGTGGGGATCTCATTGTGAAGAAGCCGAGGATATTTGTGAATTCACCTCCACACTTTTGTCAGCTGCATCCCAGGTGCAATTAGGATGCTGCAGTAATTGCATATCTTGTTACCTTCTGCTCCTGGTTATGTGAGACTTGCATTTAAACCACAGAGGACTTCCACTTTCCTCTTACCTAGCCTGTGGCTTTGACCAAAGAACCTTTTCTGAAAGCCCAGGCATTTCAGATGGAAGTTCTGAGTTCTCCAAGCTGGGATTAATCTGATTAGTGTGGGAGCCAAGAGGGATGGAATGGGCTGGGAGCACAACATGCCGCACCACTGTATGAATTCCCAGCAGCTGCTGTAGCAAATGACCACAAATGGGGTGGCTTAAAATAACAGGAAGACATCATCTCACAGTTCTGAAGGCTTAGAAGTTTGAAGTCCAGGTGTCAGCAATGTGGCGATTCTGAGGCAGAATCTGTTCCCGGCCTCTCACTTAGCTCCTGGTGTTTGCCAGCAATTCTTGGTCTTCCTTGGCTTGTAGACTCATCGCTCCAATCTCTGCCCCCATTTTCTGATAGCATTCTCCCCTGTGTTTCCAAATGTCCTCTTACAAGGACATCAGTCATTGGACTATGACCCATTTGAATCACATATGACCTCATCTTAGCTTGATTACATCTGTGAAGACCTCTTTCCAAATAAGTCCTATGGGTTAGGACTTCAAAATATCTCTTTGGGGGACACAATTCCTTGCTCATTCTTTCATTCTGTTTGTTTCCTTCTGTGATGGAAAAGTATCAAGCTCTCTAAGTTTGACTGCAGAATTTAAGAGGAGAGGGCCCATTGGGGTCTCCTGGACTTCAGACACTAACACCGAGTGCTTAAATCATTTCCCAGTGTCAGCCTCATCTGCATAGTGGGAAGAATAGCCCAGCTACTGGAAGAGTGAACTGCTCTATTTGTTTCTTTGTTTATCCATTCTTCGCTAAGCTGAGCCTTTGCTTTCTTCTCTGCAGAAACCAATAGAGCCATGGCGACTCCCTCTGCTGCCTTCGAGGCCCTTATGAATGGTGTGACAAGCTGGGATGTACCCGAAGATGCTGTTCCATGTGAACTGCTTCTTATTGGAGAGGCTTCATTTCCTGTGATGGTGAATGACATGGGCCAGGTCCTCATTGCTGCCTCCTCCTATGGCCGTGGCCGCCTGGTGGTCGTGTCCCATGAGGACTACTTGGTGGAAGCCCAGCTCACGCCCTTTCTCCTGAACGCAGTGGGGTGGCTTTGCTCTTCCCCTGGGGCTCCCATTGGTGTACACCCATCCCTGGCACCTTTGGCCAAAATCCTCGAGGGCTCTGGAGTGGATGCAAAGGTTGAGCCAGAAGTGAAAGACTCCCTGGGGGTTTACTGTATTGATGCCTACAATGAAACCATGACAGAAAAGCTGGTCAAGTTCATGAAATGTGGTGGCGGCTTGCTCATAGGAGGACAAGCCTGGGATTGGGCCAACCAGGGGGAGGATGAAAGGGTTCTGTTCACGTTCCCTGGGAACCTCGTGACCAGTGTGGCTGGCATTTACTTTACTGACAACAAAGGGGACACGAGTTTCTTTAAAGTCTCCAAGAAGATGCCCAAGATCCCAGTGTTGGTTAGGTGAGTATGTTACCCCACTGGGGAGTTGGCTCCAGGGTTGAAAAGCAGACCCAGTTCTTATCTTCAGGTTGCTCCAAGGCTAACAGAAGAGTGCTCCCAGGCACTCAGATATGGAATCACTACATATCAACTAGATTTTTTAAATGCCCTGAGACATAGGAGGGGCAAGGTCCTCACTGCCCCTGTCTTCCCAAACCAGACCATTTAGCTCTTTGATAATTTGAACTTAATGGTGGCTATGGTCCCAGTGTCTTGCTTAATCAAAACTGTGCTGTTGGCCCCAACAGTTGGCATAGTTAATCCAGATGGTTTATAGGAGAGGTTGCTTTCAACAGGAATGTGAAGAAAAGGAAAACAGGCATGAAGGACCCCATGAGCCAAAGCCTAGAGAGGTGTGGGGAAGGTTTTGAAATGTCTATCCAGATGAGGTTAGGATGCAATAGGAAGTAGAAGCCTTCAGAAGTTAAGATATCAGAAAAGATGGTTCAAGTTATATGTGCTAAATCTAGGATTTAGGAGGGGCAAAAGGTTGATGATCAGTAATGAAGGAGTCAGGTGATGGGTGCAGGAGAGCCTGCACTGAAAGTTTTTGGAGTGTACTGCCCTGCCTGCTTTGCTCTCACTGCACTCCAGCACCACATATAGTGCCTAACAGATAGCAGGTCAGTAGGTGCTCAGTAAACATCTCTTGCATGCATGACTGCATGAATGAATGAGAGGGATTATAAGCTGGATTAGTCCCGGGAGCAGAAAAAGTACATTAGGCCACTCTCTATGTTGTATATTAAAACTCTCAGCATTCTCAGAACAAACAACACTGATATTTCTGACTGATGGGAATGGAGCAAGGTAGGATTGGGTGAGGACGACACACCAAGGGTACTACGAAGGTATGGGGAATGAGCTATGACTTCTCCTTGGCATGGGACTTTTAGGGAAGTTTTAGGAAGATCAACCAGAATAGTTAGTCTACTATGTTTTTGGACAAAAAGATGACTCGTATCATTTTAGCCCAAATATTGGGCTTCTGCAAAGGAGTTCAAACTCTCTGTTCATTCATCCATTTATTTAGCCAGGGTTTATTAAACATATTATATATCCCAGGCATTATTTCTTATTTCAAGAACCTGATTTGCAAAGATCTGAGAATTAGGGGCACAGGAACATCTCCAATTACAAGACTTGGAAACAAAAGTCAAAAACCAAGTAACTGTTGTAGGAAGAGGGTTATGCTATCATTGTTCATAAAACCTGGAAACCTGGGATCTATAACCAGTAATGGCACAGTGTGGCACTAGCATGTCCTTTCAATTCTCTTTTTCTCTCTAAAGGAAAGTGGTGGCATAGAAGCTCCTACTGTCCCTTGTAGGACATTTTTCAGTCTACAGTGATCTCTGTATGTTCACAAAGTCATCAGAGATGCATAGAAAAGAACGCCGTACAAATGGTCATACTCTAAATGCCCAAATGCTCCCATAAATTTGGTTTGAAAATACCCTCACGAAACCTGAATTGACCAGCCTTATAAATTGATGCTATCCATGCCCCCTTCAGTTTGAAAAATGGTGAAGGGATATTAGACACAAAAGAGACTTGGTTGTAAGTTTATTTATAATAAGGATCTTGCACATCCTTGGAGGTCGTTGCTGGTTATTGCTGGTTATATGTTAGGCATATATAGAATCCTAATTATAGGTTTTAGGTCAGAATCAATGCCCAGGCATGGTGGGGTGAATGTATTTACCTAACTCCTGCTTTGTACTTCTTACTATATGCTTAGCCATATATACTAAAATTGTTTTAACTGATTTTCACAAAATAGAACTTTTTAGAGAGTGAGTACAAGTGGCAAAATATGCTGTTTTATAAGAGAGATTGCCAAATCACAATTGTTTTCTTTTCCTTTTAATGAACATTTTTCCTTTTTAATTTTAAAATATGTGCTTCTTGGGAAAAAAGTAAAATAATTCAGAAGCATACAAAGTAAAAAGTGAAAGATCTTTGTCCTCCACCTCATCCTCTGCCTCTCGCTAATTCTTTTCTTCCCCCCTTCCAAAGAAATGATCACTGCTAATGGTTTGGATGGTATCTTGTCTGATGTTTTTCCTACATTTATGTATTGGGGTTAGAGTTGGGAGAGCTGGACTGGTAGAAAGAGACACAGAGAAAAAGAGAGAGATCTGCAACTTGCTCTTTCACTGACTATATCCTGAGCGTTTTTTTCATATCCCTGTAAAAAGATGGGCATCATCCTTTTGAAGAGCATCTTGCATTCAGTTGGATTGTCCTGAAATTCATTTAACCATTTGCCTATTAGCACATTAATGTTATTTCTATTTTTTCTTATAAATAATAATACAATGACTATCTTTTCGCTACCACCCCTAAGCTTGACATACACCTCTTCATTTTAAAGACTTGGTAATTTCCGTTTAGAAACATCTTATTTTGGAAATTTTCAAACACGTAACAGAAATAGAAATAGAACAATGAGCACATGTACTCATCACCCAGGTAATGGTATCAAATCACACCCCACCCACTCCTTAACCTTTCCCGTTTGTTTTGAAGCCAATCTCCAACAGTGTGTCATTTCACCCATAAAATAGTATATCTCCAAAAGATAAAGACAAAATTTTAAATGTAGTCACAATACTGTTATCCCATTTTTAAAATTATCACTATTTTTCTGTCCTAACAAAATGTCAAAAACCATATCATTTTCAAGAGGATTCCATAAGTGTCATCTGTTATGTACCTATATCTGTACTTACCCTTTAGATCAACTGATTATATAATCAGTTAAGTCATGGAAATATAAATAATATATTTATATTATATATTGGTCTAAAGGATAAGTATAGAGATGTATATCACAATTGTTTCATACTCTCAGTGTGATTTTAGAATTGAATTTGGCTTTTGCTTTATATATTTCAAAGCTATATTTTAGGTTTATAAAAACTCATGACTTTTTTATGGCTCATACATTTTTGTCATCTAAAATATTATTTCTTGCATTTAGTATTTTTCACCTTTATTTTGTCTAATATTAATTCTGACTCCTACTTTGTTTTACTTGTTGATCTTTTTATTCTTTCTTTTGCTTTTAAAGATACATCTCTTAGTACAAATCTGATTTTTTAACCCAATTGAGGGTTAAAAATTTATATAATTAAGGACATTGATGTTTTTATATAATTAAGGACATTGGTGTTTTTCTTCTAGTTCCATCATCTTATTTGATGTTCTTTGTTAAACAGTCTCGTTGCTTCTTTTCAAATTTTCCTTTGCTGCCTTTAGCTTGATTGATGGAGTTTCTTTTCCCCTTCTCTCTGTTTAGAAGTTATACACAATTTTTGTATCATTATTATAGCTACCTTTAATTTTTCCCAGCTCTTTCTTTCAAATTTTTCACACTTAAGGAAAAGTTGTCAGAATAACATAATAATCACCGCACCCTTTACCTAGATTCACCAGTGGTTACATTTTGCCACATATGCTGCATAAGTATACATACGAAGAGATTATTTGGCCTAGCCATTTGAGAGTAACCTACAGATCTCAAGAATGAAGGAGGCAGGTGATGGATATGACACTTCATACCTGAATACTTCAGCCTGTATCTCCTAACAAGGACATTTTCCCATATAACCACAATACAGTTATCTCACTCAAAACATGTAACATTGATAGAATGTTGTTATCTAATGTCCATGTTCAAACGTCTCTAATTGTTCAAAAAAATCCCTTTTTTAGATTTTTTAAGATATAGGATCTAATCAAGTTTCCATATCATATTTCTTTAGTCTCCTTTAATCAAAATAGTTCCCTAGCTTTTTTTTAAATCTTTCAGGACATTAGTATTTTTGAAGTATGCAGTCCCGTTGTTTTATGGAATGCCCTTCAGTTTGGCTTTGTCTAATTGTTTTTTTTTTTCATGATTACACTCAGTTCACACATTTTTGGCAAGAAAATAATTTATGTTGTTTTCATCACAGTGTCACAAATTAAAGGTGCATGAGGTCAGTTTGTCCAATTACTGGTGATGTTAAAATTGGTCATTTAATTAAACTGGAGTTTGCCAGATTTTCCTATTTTACTGATTTTATTTATTATATTTTATTTCTACTTATTTTATTCCTTTCCCCCTTTTTTAAAACTAATTTAGTGTGTGACAATTTGAGATCTGTATGAATATCCTGTTTGCCAACAACCTTTCACCCAGTGGTTTTAGCTTTCATTGGTGATCTGTGCCTGAGTAAATATTTATGAAAGTGGCTACTTCTACCACTTCAGCCACTTCTGAACCTTTCTTCAAAATTCATCTCAGGTATCACATCTTTAGAAAGCTGTCCCTTACTCCTCTCCTCTCATTCTGATATAGATGAGTCTTTTGTGCTCCCATACTAACCTAACATCTTAGCACTTACCTCAGGCTAAGTGTTGGTTTACTTGTAGATTTCTATAAGAACTGATTGACATCCTTTGGTAAATAAGACCTTCGCTTCCCCACCTTCACATTTACTGTTAGGGTTGTTCTTCTTTTTAAACGTTTGTTTTAGTATCACCCTATACTCATGGATCCTTTTCTTTTAAGATCGAATACATTACAATCCATTTATAGTCAGTATTTTTTGAAGGCTAAGTTGTCCCAAATTTGGCAAGTTAAAGCCTCGTTAAGCTGTCTCCTGAGCCCATCAGTTTTTTTTTAGTATTTACTTAGTTTCTGACATAAAAAGATGTTGCAAGGTTACCTTTTACTTTTCTGGTTCAAAACCTGGATTCAGCCATTTCCTCAAGGAATGCTAGTTCCTTCTAGTGGTGAACGGTATTTAGAAACCAAGATCTAAAGCATGCTCAGTGCTATGGTGTCATCATTTCTGGGTTCTGAGAGAGCCATATCTTTTAATCATACATTCACACTGATACCCCCAATTTTACTTCAAAACCACAGGATTCTTCTTCTCTTTCACTCATTCCATATTAGTATTTTTCTTCTGCCATAGTGAGAATCCTGGTTTCAACAGCTTCAACATTTACCTATTTGCTCAGTCCAATAATACACACAAACGAGTTTCATGATTCCTATACCCATACTATTGCCAATAACAAACTTGATAAGTTATTTTTGCCTTCTGAATACACCACACTGAGCATATAGAGTCCAGCAAGTACTATATTCAAAAGTATTCAAATTGCTTTTTACATTTGGGCCTGTTTTTATTCCATGTGGGGTTTTCTCCATATTTGTTTATTTAATTTTATTTTATGAATGCTAACAGCATGGCTACAATAGCAGAATACACATTCTTTTATGTGCACATGAGATAGTCATGAAGATAGACCGTGAAGATAGACCATCTGCTGTGCTATAAAATAAGCCTTAGCAAGAGTAAAAGAATTGAAATCATACCATATATGTCCTCATCACAGTGGAATTAAATTAGAATTCAATAACATATCTGAAAAATTCCTAAATATTTGTAAATTTAAAAATGTTTCTAAATACTCCTTAAGTCAAAGCAGAAATTACAAAGGAAATTAGAATATATTTAGAACTGAATAAAAATGAAAGCATAACATGTCAAAAATTGTGCAATTCTATTAAAACAGTGCTAAGAAAGATATGCCTTTAAATACTTTTATTAGGAAGGAAGAAAATTTGAAACTCAGTGAACTATGTTTCCATATTAAGAATCTAAAAAAGGAAATTGAATTAAACCCAAAATCTGTAGAAGAAACGAGGAAATAATAGAGCAGAAATCTGTGAAACAACTTTAAAAAAAAAAGTAAACAGTAAAACCAAAAGCTGATTAGTTGAAAAAAAATCATTAAAAGTGATTAACCTCTAGATAAGCTATGAAAATAGGAGAGATAACACAAATTATGGATTTCAGGAATAGAAGAAGGAATATTAGTACAGATCCTACAGACATTAAAAGGATAGTAAGGGAATATTACAACTTTATGCCAATAAATTTGACAATTTAGATGAGATAGATAAATTTCCTGACAGCCAAAAATTACCAAAATGGATACAAAAAGAAACATGAAATATATGCTAAATAAATTGAATTGTAATTTTAAACATTCCAACACTAAATGCAATGTGGTATCCTGGATTGGATCCTAAAAGACATTGGTGTGAAGAGTGATGATATTTATATAAAATCTGGAGTTTAGTTAGTAGTGTTTGATCACTGTTGACTTCTTAGTTTTGACAAATGTATAATGGATGTTTTACTATATTGCAAGTTTTCGATTTTCTTACATTTTAAAATAGAAATTGTATTTAAAATCAACAACGCAAAGAAAATTCCAGGCCCAGACAGCTTCATTGATGAATTTTATCAAACATTCAAGGAACAAATAATACAAATCCTACATAAACTCTTTTTAAAAATAGAAAAGGAAGATCTTCCAACTTGATTTATTAAAACAGCATTTCTCTAATACTGAAACCAGAAAAGGACATCGTAAGAAAACTACAAAACAATATCCTTCATGAATATAGATGAAAAATTATTAATAAAATATTAATAGAATACGGAAATATATAAAAAGAAGAATACTTCATGACCAAGTAAGGCTATCCTAGGATGAATGACTGGTCTAACATTCAGTAATCAGATTAACTCACCATATTAATAGAATGAATGAGAAAAACCATGTAATTCAAGGCTGGGCATGGTGGCTCATGCCTGTGATCCCAGCACTTTGGGAGGCCAAGGTGAGTGGATCATTTGAGATCAGGAGTTTGATTTGAGACCAGCCTGACCACCATAGTGAAACGCTATCTCTATTAAAATACAAAAGTTAGCTGGGCATGGTGTTGTGTGCCTGTAGTCCGAGCTACTGGGGAGGCTGAGGCATGAGAATCATTTGAACCTGGGAGGCAGAGGTTGCAGTGAGCTGAGACCGTGCCTCTGTACTCAGCCTGGGCAACAGAGTGAGACTGTCTCAAAAAAAAAAAAAAAAAAAACCAAAAGAAAAATAAAAACCATATAATTCAATAATACACATACAAAATATTGACCAAATTCAATACCAAATCATACCAAATTATGATAAAATTTCAGCAAATGAGAAATAAAAAGGAACTGCTTCAACCTGATAAAAATGTCTACGAAAAATATATAGTTAAAAATATTCTTAAAGGTGAATACTGAACATTTTCCCCTAAGACTGAGAACATGACAAGGAATAATACCTGCTCTCACCTCTTCTATTCAACATTGTGCTACAGGTCCTACCCAGTGTAATAAGGCAAGGAAAATAAGGCATAGAGATTGGAAATTTAAAAAAATATATATATATGTGTTTTGTTTTTCTAGAACACTGAGCCAAAAGACAGGAAATGTTTGAATCTTGGTGTTGGAAAACAAATTTAAAAGAAAAAAGTATTTTACACATTTAGAAGATTTTTAAATGACAAGATCCATTTAAACATAAAGTTAGAGCATTTCCTAGAATGGAATTATTTTATTTTTAGAAGTATTTGCAAAAAGCATGATCATCTATGTAAAAAAAAATCCTAAAATATCTACAGTAAAGCTATAATAATTAATTTTAACAAGGTTGTAAGATACAAAATTCAATTTACAAAACCCAATTACTTTTTTAATATATTAGCAACCAGCAATTGGTAATTACAATTTTAAAATACAACATTTAAAATAGAACCCAAATTATGAAGTAGTAAGTGTTAAATTTAACAAAATATGTCATGAGACCTGTATGGTGAAAACTACAAAACATCTCTGAGAGAAATTAAATAAAACCTAAAGAAATGGAGAAATATACCATGTTGATGGATCAGAACACTTGATATTTTAAGATGTCAGTTTCCCCATTAACCTACAGATTTAATGCAGTCCATAGTTCAAACCGATTCTAAAAATATACAAATGAAATGGAACTAACATAGGCTAGTTTTAAGACTTTTTACAGAAATGAAGTAGTCAAAACACTTTGATATTGGCATAAAGATAGACATGCAGATCAATGAAACAGACCAGATAGTTTAGAGATAGACCCACAGATTTATGGTAAATTGTTTTTTGACAGAGTTGCTCAGGTAATTCTATGAGGAAATTACAGTCTTTCCAACATATGGTTCTGGAACAACTGGATACCCTTATGGAAAAAAGGTGAATTGTGACCCTCACCCTACTCCATAAAAGCAAATATTTAAAAATAGATCTAGACCTAAATGCAAAAGCTAAATTTTAAAAACTTCTAAATGAAAGCATAGGAGAAAATATCTGACCTTGACCTTTGCAATTTTTGCCTACATAGGACACAAAAAGTACATGAACCATAAAAGGAAAAGATTAATAAATTGAGCTTTATTTTTAAAAAGTAAATAGCTCTGCAGTTCAATAGACAGTATTAAGGAAACAAAAAGGCAAGCCATAGACTGGAAAAAAAAATATTTGCAATACTTATATCTGACAATGGACTTGCATTCAGAATACATGGAGAACTCTTATATTCCAATAATGAGACCACCTATGTTTCTTTGTTTTTGTTTTGTTTTTTGAGACAGGGTCTCCCTTTCTGTCTCAGGCTGAAGTACAGTGGCACGAACATGGCACTCAAGCAATCCTTCCTCCTCAGCCTCCTGAGTAGCCAGGACTACAGGTGCACGCCACCACACCTGGCCATTTTTAAAATTTTTTGTAGAGATGGAGTCTTGCCATGTTGCCCAGGCTGTTCTCAGACTCCTGGGCTCAAGCAGTCCTGCCTTGGCCTCCCGAAGTGCTGGGATTATAGGCATGAGATACCACACCCTGCAAGTTTTTTTTTTTTAAGCCAAAATAGTTTAACACACTTCACAAAAGATAAAATATAAAAGGCCAAAAAGCCCAAATGATTCTCACTATCATTAGTCATCAGAGAAATGCAAAAAACTAAAATCACAATGAAATGCCCTATGGCCCCATAAAAATGGCTAAAATTAAAGACTCGCTATATGAATTGCTGACAAGAATGTGGTTTTATACATTGCCAGTGGGAATATAAAATGACACAACCACTTTGGAAGACGGTTTGGCAATTTCTTATAAAGTTAACTGACAATTAACATACAATTTTGCCATTTCATCACCCTTTATCCAAGAGAAAGGAAAACATGTCCACACAAAAACTTGTACATTAATGTTTAGGGCAGCAAGCCCAAACCAAAGACTACCCAAATGTCCATCAACAGATGACAGGATAAACAAAGTGTAGCCTATCTCCAGAATGGCATAATACACAGCTGTAGAAGACGATGCATTACGGATAGATGCCACAGTATGGATGGTTCTCACAAAGTTATTCTGAGTGAAAGAAGCCAAACTCAAAGGAGTACATACTTTATGATTACATTATATGAAGCTTTAGAAAAGACAAATGTTTATGGATAGAAAGCACATCAGTAGTTGCCTGCGGTTGTGTGTGGGACAGTCTCAGCTCACTGCCAGCTCCACCTCCCAGGTTCATGCCATTCTGCTGCCTCAGCCTCCCGAGTAGCTGGGACTACAGGCGCCCACCACCACGCCTGGCTAATTTTTTGTATTTTTAGTAGATGGGGTTTCACAGTGTCAGCCAGGATGGTCTCGATCTCCTGACCTCGTGATCCGCCCACCTTGGCCTCCCAAAGTGCTGGGATTACAGGCGTGAGCCACCACGCCCAGCCTAATCAATAATCTTTTAGAGTAGCCTGTCCCATTTTTTCACGAGAGAGGTAATATATCTTCTTAGAACTTTCTGATGATATGCAATACCTACTTAGAACGTTCTTCTCCATTTGTTGCTATTGTTCCCTTGGGAGTTTAGTTGGGTGCTTCTCTTTCATGCTGTTAATTTTCGTCAGATATTTGGTGGTTCTTGTCTATTTAAATTTTAAATTACATTTAAATCCTAGGTTGATCATTATTGGTTACTGCAGAGCATTTTCTTGGGACAAATGATAATCTTTGGTCCTTTGTTCCCCTGATCTTCTCTTTCACATGTACGCAGTTAGATTCTTCTGTTCTCATGGCTTTCCAATCAATCAGATACCATTTGATTTATATTTTTTATAAATGTCCCCACTATCTCAGTTTGTTGATGGCACCCTTCTCAAAATCCAATGCTATTATGGATTTACTGAGTTTCACTCTGTCGCCCAGGCTAGAGTGCATTGGCATGATCTCAGCTCACTGCAACCTCTGCCTCCCAGGTTCAAGCAATTCTCCTGCCTCAGCCTCCTGAATAGCTGGGATTATAGGCACCCGCCATCATGCCCCGCTAATTTTTGTATTTTTGTAGAGACAGGGTTTCACCAGGATTTATTTTTTTAAGTAACTTTTGTTTCACTTCAGAAGAGGGTAAGGAAGAGAAGTAAAATCCAACTCATTTTTTCAACACATGAAAGAATTACTTAGCCCCTACTGTATATAAATCGTGGCTGTTGGAACTAATAGACAGATGCCTCCGAGGGTGCCCCCTGGCTAAGCACTGAGCAAGACCTCATGTAGTCTCATTGTTCAGATGAAGTTCTAATAACTCAGTGTCTGAATCTCAGCTTTGTAGGTTTAATTTCTCTCATCAGTAGGCTCATGTAGAAATCCTGAAGCTGATGTATTCACTTAGAGCACAGTAGCCCACCTCTTCACTGATTTTACTCTTAAAAAAAAATAATTGCATGAACTTCGTAAACAAGGCCAGGTGCCATGGCCTATAATCCCAGCACTTTGGGAGGCCGAGGCAGGAGGATTGCTTGAGCCCAGGAGTTCAAGACCAACCTGAGCAACATAGTGAGACCCCCCCCCTTCTCCATTAAATTAAAAAATCAAAAATAAAAGAGAAAAAAATTATAAACAGAACTCTAATTATAAGAACTAAAACACATTTTTCATTAAATTTTGTATACATGTTTAAAGGACTACAATTGAAAATGAATTTTAAAAAATTTTAAGAGTCACCAAATTAAATACAGACTATCCAAAATGTTGCTTGAATAAAATAAATAAATGTTACAAATCTAGAATATTCTGGTTGGCCTAGCCAGTGACTTCTTTCTCTCATTAGGCAGGTGATCATGGAAAGCAGTATTACAATCACAGAGTTGTTTGGTAAGCCTCGAATCAGAGCAAGAAGAGATAGTTGAATGATGTTAATGATAGTTCTTTACCGAGTTAGAGAGTCATCCACCAATTAGTATGGTGGTAGCTTTATCTTTAGTAAAGGTTCATACTTGCTAAGAGGACCATAGCTTTCCCATCAGTAGAGCTCTGCCAGCCATAGAGAGTACAGCACGAACACTGCAAATTTGTTGTCTACCTGACCCCCATTTTTTGGTGTTATCTTACAGCTGCATCCTACTATACTATAGTAGCTGCATCCTACTATACTTTACCTAACAAAAGTGACAGAACCAACTCTGGAATCTCAAGCTCAGAGAGGCCACTCTATTCCTTAACTCCACCTTATCCAGTGTTCCATCTCATTTTGGATTTATGGGCATCTTGAGGGCTTCTAGGGCTGGATTACCCACAGACAGTAAACAGATGGTGCTGAGCAAAACCTTACAGCATGGATGTGCATCACTCCTGTTGGGCAGGCAGTGAAAAAGTGGAGTTCTAGATGCAGACAGTAAAGTCCTCTTGGGCTCAGGTAACCAGAGGGTCTCACTAGAGTTGAGGCCAGTCAGTTCCCCTACCCCACCTTTTGAGATAATAATGATTCTTCACTAGCACTACTGACTTGTCCTTCCACAGACTTTATTTGTAGGAAATTAGCTGCAATTTCCTGCAATTTATAAATAAGACTCCTTATAAGGAAAAAAAAACATGATTTCCCATTTTTTTATATGTATTGTTTAGAGGGTTGAAATAACCATGAACTAAAATCTGGAGTATTTAAGACATGGTACTGGATAAACACAGCAGGGCTCCCTTTGCAATTTCCATTGGAGAATTTGTGCTCTAAGAATGAGCAGAGCAGAATTAATGCTGAGTCCCTCTGCCACCCCTCCAACAAGTCTCCATACCCAGTGAGGTCAGAGCTGTCCATTTTGTTCTCCCAACTTTCCCCTAAGAACTAAAAATAACAATATTAGCAAAGCTAACACATCTATAGCGCTCACTGTATGCCATCCACTGTTCTAACAGCTTTATATAGAACTGTACCTCTAATAAAGAATGCATGTGTCTTTTGCAGTTGTGAAGATGACCTCTCCGACGACAGAGAAGAGCTTCTGCATGGGATTTCAGAGCTGGACATCAGCAACTCGGATTGTTTCCCATCCCAGCTGCTAGTGCATGGGGCTTTAGCCTTTCCTCTAGGGTTAGATTCCTACCATGGCTGTGTTATAGCGGCTGCCCGCTATGGCCGGGGCCGGGTGGTTGTGACTGGCCATAAGGTATTATTCACTGTTGGTAAACTGGGCCCCTTTCTGCTCAATGCTGTCCGCTGGCTGGATGGGGGCCGCAGAGGCAAGGTTGTGGTGCAGACAGAGCTGAGAACCCTGAGTGGCCTCCTCGCAGTGGGGGGCATAGACACCAGCATCGAGCCCAATCTGACCAGTGATGCAAGTGTCTACTGCTTTGAACCCGTGAGTGAAGTGGGGGTCAAGGAACTGCAGGAGTTTGTAGCAGAGGGTGGCGGGCTATTTGTTGGAGCCCAAGCCTGGTGGTGGGCCTTCAAGAACCCCGGAGTGTCCCCTTTGGCTCGATTCCCAGGAAACCTCCTCCTCAACCCCTTTGGCATCAGCATTACAAGCCAAAGCCTCAATCCAGGGCCCTTTCGTACTCCTAAAGCAGGGATAAGGACCTATCACTTCCGCTCCACCTTGGCCGAGTTCCAGGTTATAATGGGCAGGAAGAGAGGAAATGTGGAAAAGGGCTGGTTGGCAAAGCTGGGACCAGATGGTGCAGCTTTCCTGCAGATTCCCGCAGAAGAGATCCCTGCCTACATGTCTGTGCATCGACTCCTGAGGAAGCTGCTAAGTCGATATCGGCTTCCAGTAGCAACCCGAGAGAACCCTGTTATCAATGACTGCTGCAGAGGTGCTATGCTTTCCCTGGCCACAGGGCTGGCCCACTCTGGAAGCGACCTCTCTCTGTTAGTCCCAGAAATTGAAGATATGTACAGCAGCCCCTATCTGCGCCCCTCAGAATCTCCTATCACCGTCGAGGTCAACTGCACCAATCCAGGTAAGGAACAAGGGTTGGAAGCTCAGTATTATGGGAATGGGGGAATGGGGACAGGCTGACATCAGCAGTCCATTTCAGGGACCCGATCATGTCCAGAAGGTGGTCTCCATTTTTTACCATGAACTTTGAAGAAGATAAGGGTTGGGATTTTAAGTACTGTTTGGAAGAGTTGAGTCAAGGCAGCATGTAGGGGAAGATACGTGCTTACGAAGGGTCTCTGGTGATGCTGGGTGGAGGTGGCATCATGGAGGAGGGATAAAGTCTGCCTACCCCTCCTGCTTTTGGCAGGCACCAGATATTGCTGGATGAGTACTGGGCTCTACATACCTGGAAGGCAAATTATAGAAGTCTCACTGCCTGAAGCTGCTGCCTCTGCCGACCTGAAGGTAAGGCCATGCCCCACCTCACCATGTAACATGGAAGCCAAAGGCTCTTCCTAGCACAGTCAGTATCTTATTTGATTCTCACAAAGCCCTGTTGGTAATACAGAGCAGGTGATTTTACCCTTGTTTTAAGGATGAAGTAACTAAGGTGCAGAAAAGCTGATTGATTGATTGATCGATTGAAATGTATAGAGCTAATACAAATAAGTGCCCAGGACTCAAACCTAACTAATTTCTGGCTCTTAAGTTTTGTGCTTTTGACCTACATCCTAGAGTAGGGAATAAGAGGTATCAAATGGAAGGTAACCTAGCACAGAGTAGGCATTCAGTAAATCTGAGTTCACTGTTCATCTCCGTATCCATTCCCATGGTAGCACAAGGTCTTTCTGACTTCAGCTTCTTCCCCATGACATCCAAGACCATTCCTCAATTGCCCAGTTCACCTTCCCTCTGTCACTTTCACATAGAACCCATTTGCAAAGTTAGTTTGCTGTCCTTCCCTATCCCCCTTGGGGGTCACTGTGATGGTTAGCATCTATTCTGTGCCTGTACCTATCCTGGAACTTGATTAGCATAAACCCAGGGAAAAGAATCCTAGGACTCTACCAAGTACCTGCCCAGGAAGAGGGCTTGGAGAAACCCTCCACTATCTTAGCCAGATCACACCACCTCCCACTGGGCCCTCTCTCTGATCAGCAAAAGGCAGGGTTCCCTCTGCCCCATTCCAAATGCCAGAATCACCACCATGAGATAGGCGATCAAGTGTTCTATTTGTTAGCAACACCAGGAGACCGGGTGTGGGAGTCAGCCCTCCTCAGAATTGGCCTTACAGGTTACACCTGGCACTTCTCACATTAATGTCTATCTAACATGACCCATTATGGAGCTGTTTGAATGCTTTGGGAAAATATTTATATATACTTCAGTCCATATGCCCCAAGGAATGCTACAGTTTCTTGGGGTATCACACATGGTTCATCTGTGGTGGGAAGGCTGGGCTCGCTTGGGTTCATGGCTGAATGACCCATCCTGAGTCCCTTGCTGGGCTCTCTTCTTCCACCCACTCGTGCCCCATGGTGACTCCTTGAGGGGGGGATCTTTCTGCTCCAGATACAGATTGGCTGCCACACAGATGACCTGACCAGGGCCAGCAAGCTTTTCCGAGGCCCACTCGTAATTAACCGGTGCTGCTTGGACAAACCCACAAAATCGATCACGTGCCTCTGGGGTGGACTCCTCTATATAATTGTGCCTCAGAACAGCAAACTGGGTTCTGTGCCTGTCACCGTGAAGGGGGCTGTGCATGCTCCATACTACAAGCTGGGTGAGTGGGAGCTCTGGGTGCCCCTGAGGGAAGGGGAAGAACTGAGATGAGGATTCCAGAGAGCATGGGAGTCCAGGAGGTGACTAGAGTCTGTTTGGTGCAGAAGGAGAGAGACACGGGCTAACAGAGGAATAAGGGTCAGCTTCCTTAGATTCAGCTTTGGGGTTGTACAGATAAAGACCAAACCACATCCTTGGAGACTTCATAGAAGGATAGAGAAAAGGGATATAGCCTCAGCAAACTAACACAGGAACAGAAAACCAAACACCACGTGTTCTCACTTGTAAGTGGGAGCTGAACAATAAGAACACATGGACACAGGGAGGGGAACAACACACATTGGGGCCTGTCAGTGGGGTGGGTAGCGGGGGTGGATGGAGGGAGACCATCAGGATAAATAGCTAATGCATGCTGGGCTTAATACCTAGGTGATGGGTTGATGGGTGCAGCAAACCACCATCACACATGTTTACCTATGGAACAAACCTGCACGTCCTGCACATGTATCCCGGAACTTTACATTTTTTAAAAAAGAGGAGGGATATGGCAGTTCATGATTTTGTTGTTCTCTTCCTGGAGTCTAAGTTGTATGTTGTAATTTAAGGGATTTGGGAAAGGATTTCAAGCTCCATGGTCTCTCTTCCTAGGGGAGACCACCCTGGAGGAGTGGAAGAGGCGTATCCAGGAGAATCCAGGGCCCTGGGGAGAGCTGGCCACGGACAACATCATTCTGACCGTGCCGACCGCAAATCTTCGTACTCTGGAGAACCCTGAGCCGCTGCTCCGCCTCTGGGATGAGGTGATGCAGGCTGTGGCGCGACTGGGAGCTGAGCCCTTCCCTTTGCGCCTGCCTCAGAGGATTGTTGCCGACGTGCAGATCTCAGTGGGTGGGTGCTCCAAGCAAACCCTCTGTGCATGCTGCCTCTGAGCGCCTTCCTGTCTTTCATCAGCCATGCAGTGGGCAGCCAGTAGGGGAAACATATTTTGCTAGCAAGACATATAGATGTATCCTTGTTATTTAAATGGGAAGGAAATATATATAATATATATTATATATTATATATATAATATATAATATATATTATATATATATTATATAATATATATTATATAATATATATTATATAATATATATTCCGTAATATATATTATATAATATATATTATATAATATATATTCCGTAATATATATTATATAATATATATTATATATATGTATATATGTATATGTGTATATAAAACAGTTTAGGTCAGCATGTCAAGGACATCAAGAAATGCCACCTGAGCTTTCACAGGTATTCATCAGGGACTTCAAGCCGGTAAAAATGGCAGAGGGCCGTGACCTAGGTCAGAGTTGTTGGGTTGGAAAAGGGAATTTTACAACTTTAAGAACACACTGAATAAAGCGATCTTTGCCTATGGTCAAGGAACATGAAAAGTGAGGGAAATATACAGACATTAAAGAACCATGGGAATTTCTCTGGACCCTCATTTTCTTTCTTATACGGATGTTCACTGTAAACTTGTGTTGATATGGCAACTCCATATCTGAACAATGAGAGAGGAGCTACCCTTAAAGAGCTCTGAATTTTGAGAAAAGGTTATAGTGACACAGATTCACATGGATAAGGCATCCTCATCAAAATAGAAAAATTGAATGGTAACATGAACAGCTCCTTATATATAAGCTGCATCTCCTTCCATAGCCACACTATTCTGGGTCAGAGTAGAGATGAAGGAATTCTTCCAGAATGAAAAGAGGAGAAGGAACACCTAGCAGGGTCTTGGTTTGGGTTGCTTTTCTGAGTATTATGGTGTGCTGGAATTTGGCTGGGGTTACTGAGTGTTTTGGAACACACACAAAACATAGAAGAATATTACGACTTAAATGGGGAGGACCCTAACTCTCTCTTCCCTCCTTCTGCATTTTCCAGGCTGGATGCATGCAGGGTACCCCATCATGTGCCATCTGGAGTCAGTGCAGGAGCTCATCAACGAGAAGCTCATCAGAACCAAGGGGCTGTGGGGCCCCGTCCATGAGCTGGGCCGCAACCAGCAGCGGCAGGAGTGGGAGTTCCCACCACACACCACCGAGGCCACCTGCAACCTGTGGTGTGTGTATGTGCATGAGACGGTCTTGGGCATTCCTCGAAGCCGTGCCAATATTGCTCTGTGGCCCCCAGTTCGGGAGAAGAGAGTCAGAATCTACCTGAGCAAGGGTCCCAATGTGAAAAACTGGAATGCATGGACCGCACTGGAAACGTATTTACAGGTACTGGGCAAGAATGGCGGGTGATGGGGGACCCCTACTGCGGGGACCATCAGGGCAACTATCGGATAATGTTCTAGTGGCCCAGAAGACCACCCATGGCCCCTGTCTCCCACACTGGGATATGGGAGGCCCTGACAAAGTCCAACTGTGACAGTCGTATTGATGATGTCTCTTAGTGCATCGCCTTGCATGACCCTCAAGTGGATTTCATTGCCTGAGCCTCACCTTCCACCCCATAGAGATATATGATAGTAAATAGAAAGCACTGAGAAAGGTTAAAAATGGTAGAGACAAATAAAGTACTATACATATATTCACTCTCTCTGGCTTTAAAGCCAGACATACCTGAGACTGAAGCCAAACTCTCCTACTTAATAGCTATCTAAAACCAGTTCCCCCCAACCATACACATAATCCATAGGATATGACTTATTTTTTTTTTCCTTAGATGAATGTACCATCTTCTCACTATGCCTTGGCCGTGCCTCAGAGCCCCCATTATGTAGGCAATCCAAGAGTCCTCACTGACCTGGACAAGGAGGTGGCCTTGCCTTTGACCAGTTGTTTAATGCCTAGTTCCCTCCCTGCAATGCCTGGATCAGTTCCTGGCATGAAACTGGAGAGTTTCATCACCTTGAATTTCAGAACTCAGTCTCAGGCCAAGCATGCTCTATTCTGGTTCTTCCACCTGCTGGAGGCTCTCTTATTCATTCCCACTGCCGTGAGAATTATGGGAAAACCAAGGAGGCTCCACTTTAACCTTGTTATGGCTGCTTTGCCCCAGGAACACCAAGTTTCTCATTGGTGAAATAAATGTGAAGTTGGTCTGGGGAACTGCTCAAGTGCCTCATAATTCAAGCTCTGTAACTCAACAGCCTCAAGATGGCTGCCTTTTTCAAAAATTACAACTTATTCTTAATTCTAGTTACCCAGACAATCTGCAGTCTTCTACTTCTATCCAACTCACTTTTTTTCCCCAAAAGCCATTTTAATACCCTTGCACATTGACAAAGATCTATGATTAATGAGGATTTCTTTGTGCCAGGATGAGGTGGAAGTTTCCCTATTGTTGAGGTTTCACTTTTCAACTCTTGAGAAGAGGATTTTTCCAATTCTGCCAATTTTAAATCCTTGTGTAATATCCTATCTCTATTTGCGTGATCTAGTGGGATACGTGGGTAATGATACTGGTAGAAAATATTGATATTAATCATTGCAGTTGTTACCATGGCCCTCACTGATTTAGTATCCACTTGGTGTTGAACACCGTGCTGGTCCCAAGGCCCTTCCTAAGATTAGAATGTGGAAGAGCAGGGCATGAGGCCAGGAGGCAAAATGGAGGAGAGCAGGTCGGTGATAGACGTGAAGCTGATGGGTAAGGGGTTACATATACTAAGTTCACTTATTATAGTGGTTGTTGTTGGACCCTTTTTTATTTCCAAATCTGATCTGTATTTTTCTTTCTCTTCCCAGCTCCAGGAAGCCTTTGGTTGGGAGCCATTCATCCGTCTCTTCACCGAGTACAGGAACCAGACCAACTTGCCCACAGAAAATGTTGACAAAATGAATCTGTGGGTCAAGATGTTCTCCCACCAAGTGCAGAAGAACCTGGCTCCGTTCTTTGAGGCCTGGGCCTGGCCCATCCAGAAGGAAGTGGCTACCAGCCTGGCCTATCTGCCTGAATGGAAGGAAAATATTATGAAATTGTACCTCCTCACACAGATGTAAGGAGTGCCCATCGAGGTGGCAGGTAGAGAGGTTTGGGGAGGTAGGCAGAGGTGGGGATTCACTCCTCTACCTCTGCCTCCCAGGGTCTGGCCTTGTCCTCTTAGTTCATTGCCCTATACCTTATTACCGACCTCTGTCTCTAGGAAGTGGGTTCAGAACACAGCCAAAAGTGGAATCAGAATTTCTCAGGTGCAAGGGCTTCTGTTTCTGCATCTTGTTCGTCTGCTTTCAGCTGTCACATTCCCTCCTGACCCTGCACTGGCCCAGTTCCAAGAGCTTTGGCACCTGCTTCTATATCAGCCCTGGATTCACCATCATAGGTCATAGCCCAGAGGGGGTAGTTCTCATGTTGGCATCCTGAAGACTCCCTTTGGGCTTTTGTTTTTGAACAGTTGTTCCAAAAACTTGACCATAAAACTCAACTGGAACACAAATTTACCGTGAGACCCAGATAGCTCTTGGATGGACTCATATATTTTGTGACTTGAGTAGTTTTCAAAGTAGACAAGCATTCTGGTATAGTGGGAAGAGCCCAGAACTAGGTAGGGTTAGCTCTCGGGAAAGTCATTTCAACTTGGTACTCTCATTTCCTGTGTGTAAAATGGGGATAAAAATTCCCAGTTCACAGGGTTGTCGTGGAGGTTCAGAGTGATAAATTCTGAAGAGGCTTGTGAGGTCTGCAGAGCATGTCATCTAAGGGGATTTTCTATTTTATGCTGGTCCACAGGATAATGAGCTTACTACTTTCCATCCTGTCTCCAGAATTTAGAGGTTAGGATAACTCTCTCTACAAGTAGCTTCCCTGTGTTCAAATCCTGGTTCTTTCACCTACGAGTTGTATAACCCTGGCAATTTCCTTAACTTCTCTGTGATTTAGTTTTCTCATCTATAAAATAGGATCTATCTCATAGGATCATTGTGAGGATTACATTTTATAATACCTTTAAAAAGCAATGAGAACCGTCCCTGGCAGGTAGTAGGTGTTGAGAAAATGTCTGCTGCCATTATTATTATCTAATTGACTCAATACTCTTTATGAGCTAGACTTTATTTTTAGATGACATTTACAGAGGCAGTTGTAGTTAATCCTAGCCCATCTTGCACTTTATACAGCAACTTCTGAAAGGATTCTGCTATGTTGCCTTATGAATCTAAAGGAAGAACTCTAAATTCACAATGGGTTTTTTTAAATAGCTAAAAAATTTTGTTTCTTTTTAACTTAGATTTGTAAAGCTATTTATAAGAACCTCATTGTGAATTTGGAGCTCTTCCTTGGATCTCCTTATCCAATTGTATTTTACAGATCCAATTCCTTCTTTGATTAAATCAAGAGTAGATGTCTTGAAGAAACCAGATCAATTCCATAATGACATTTGTCCTTAGCAAACAGAGGGTATCTGGTTTCATGACAGTGTTTTTATTTCTGTAACACAGATTCAAGACATAGTGCCTGTCAAGAGTTACTCAACAGTTTGGCAGACGAAGTCCACACACATAGAGGACTTTACTCTGAAACAAGATGATTGGATAGAGTTGACCCAAACTTATTTCTTTTTAATTTTATTCAGAATCCCCTATTTCTTTACAGTTTTAACTAAAGTTGGGTCCTTTTGGTTGATGTCATATACATCCAGCCAGTTTTTCTTTAGCTCACTTTTTATTTTAGTTATTTTAATATATCATTTTATTTGCTTAATTGGTAATTGGGTAGATATGTAGACTGTAAGATTTGACCTATAGAGTTTTTTCTTTGGATTTTTGTTTGTTTGTTTGAGATAGCGTATCAGTCTTGTCACCCAGGCTGGAGTGCAATGGCACCGTCTCGGCTCATTGCACCCTCTACCTCCCAGGTTCAAGCGATTCTCCTGCCTCAGCATCACAAGTAGCTGGGCTTACAGGTGCCCACCACCACACCCAGCTAATTTTTTGTATTTTTAGTAGAGATGGGGTTTTGCCATGTTGGCCAGGCTGGTCTCGAACTCCTGGCCTAGGTGATCCACCCACCTCGGCCTCCCAGTAGATTTCTTTGTCATGTTATTTGTCGGTCCTAGGATTATTTCTCCTGATTGCACAAATATCCATTGCCTAGGTGCTTTAAACATGAGACATTGGATATTTGTTCAACATTTAAAATAATTGTTATCAATTATTGGGTGTGTACCAGTTATTGTAGTGATTCCTTTCTATAGATTGTTTCATTTAATCTTCACAATAATCTCATGACATGGCAACCATTATCACTCCCATTTTATTTTATGAACGAGAGAACTGAAGTTAAGGAAGATAAGGTAAATTATCTAAGGCTATATTGCTAATAAGTGGTTGATCTGGGATTTGAATTCAGGCATTCTGATTACAGAATGGGCATTCATAACTACAGTGCTTTGAATGACCCCATCAATGGGTAAATAAAGAAGCCGACCAGCAAACCAAAGGATCATTATGTTCCTACTTGCCAGAGCTTTGGCTGCATATACTTACCTATCATCTACTTTTATCAGAACAAAAAATCATTTTGTTTATCCCAAATGACAATTCAAAGAATTTAAGGTAGGCTCCTGAAGTGCTTCCCAATAGATAGTGCTGGAGTGAGCCCTTTAGCATCAGCCAGATCTTTTAGGTTCTGCATTACTCAAGTTTCAGTTATTCTTTCTAGGGTACCATGAAAGTGTTCTCTAGTTTGTTGGATTTTGAATGATGGACTATTTCAGTGAAGTGCCTGACTCCCAGAGATCCCAAACACTGCATGTTCTCAGAGAGGAAATTAGATCCTCCATCTTTGAGAATATGTGTATCCATCCTTGCCCTCTTTAATATATTTTTAGCAGTACATCCCGGGGATATATTTAAAATATAAAGTTATCCATGTTACTTCCGTGTCTAAAAGCCTCCACTGGAATTTCTAATTTGAGATAATGGAGTAAACATAAGTTTACCTTCCCTCCCTCCCCAGGCCCCACTGAAATTGAAGTCAAGAAATGCAAAAAGGAACTGACACATCTCAGCAAAGAAAACTGAAGGGATTTGGTTATAAGTGGAGAGGATCTCAGCATATTTCTGGAAGATAGAAAGTGGATGAAGCATGATAATGAAAGAGTGAAGAACCTTTCAGATAAAATGTAAGCTGATCTGAACAACATAACCCCAAAGAGACTTGCGCACCTGAAAAGCTTGTCTACTGAAGAATTACTCCAGTTGTAAGATTGAGCCCTCTCCTACTCTCCCCCAACTCTTATGCACAGAACACAGGCAGTCTCCACTATTGATACCAGTTAAAAATTTCTTGTTATTGTTGCTGTTGTTGTTTGTATAAAGGAATTGAACAGGCTGCTTGCAGAGAGATAAGAGTTGGTGCTCCAGAAAAAAATTTCTCTTCTAGTGGAAATAAGTGCCCCTACCCCCAGCCGGTCAGCTAATTCTCTACTGACAGCTGAGACCTCCTACTCAAGTGCCTGTTGCCTTCAGGTATAGAAGAGGTTTCCTGAAGAAACAGACCTAACTGTACAACAGCAGAGGAAACCCATGCCAACTGTTATACAAGTTAACAGTTATGTTGATTTTTAAATGGGAATGGTGAGTTAGAAATTCCCAGACATGGGCGATGGGGAGGGAAGAGGAATAAGAAAAGTCACGAGGTAGAATTAGGGGCCTTGAAAATATGACAAACTCTGAGGGAAACAAAGACAATGTGGAAAGAATAACTTAATTTTAATTCCATCTCCAGAGAGATTTGAGGTGTATTTAAGATGAAAAACAGGATACTACAAAGAAACGGAAAACTCAGGAGTTCGAGACCAGCCTAGGCAAGATGGCAACATCCCGTCTCTACAAAATAATTTTTAAAAATTAGCCAAGCATGGTGGCATGTGCCTGTGGTCCTAGCTACTTGGGAGGCTGAAGTGGGAAGATCACTTGAGCCCAGGAGTTCAAGGCTTCAGTGAGCCATGATGGTGCCACTGCACTCCAGCCTGGGGGACAGAGTGAGACCCTGTCTCTTAAAAAGCAAGAAAAGAAAGAGAAGACTGAGAATAAGAAGATCTCTTTGAAAATAAAATAAGACTGCTAAAAGTATTTGGTATACAGTCTGGAAAATAAAGTTGAGGGAATCTCTCCAGATAAAGAGCAAAAAGAAATAGATAGAAAAATATAAAGAAAGAAAAAAGACATAGACAATCAATATGTAATGTTAGGAGTTCCTGGAAGAGAGAACAGAGACAGTGTAGGTGAAGAAATAAAAAGAAAAAGAATTGAAGAACAGAGCAAGCTAAGTCTCCAGATTGAGAGGGCCCAATACAATCTACATCTAGACACAATATTGTAAAATTTTGGAATATTAAGGATAGAAGGAAGATATTAAAGTGGCCAGGGAGAAAACAAATGAGGTCATCACGATTAGCTCAACACAAAAATGGATGAGAAATAGACTGCTAACAGATTTGTCATCAGCAACACTGAATGCCAGAAGTCAATGGATCAACATCTTCAGAGCTTAAGGAAAATTTTTGTACCTAGAATTTCATAGTAAGGCAGACTGTCAAGAAGAACATCAAAGTGAAGACATTTTCTGTCAGGCAAATTTTCAGAAAGTCTCCTTTGCACCCTTACTGAGGAAGTATCTTGAGGAAATTCTCCAGCAAAATGAGGATGAAAACCAGGAAAGAAGAAGAAATGGGATCCATAAAACAGTGGACCTTACTTAGGATGTCTCATTCTAGAGTGACAGCCAAAAGGGTATCTCACCCTAGAGTGACAGCTATCCAGCAGACTAATTTCAGA